>NC_000006.12:14453939-14605454 GCF_000001405.40 Homo sapiens | reverse complement strand
CCAAGGTTGGGTAGGGGGAGAGAACTCCAGGCTTCATAAAGCCAGATAGTGATGCTCAGAGAAAAAGATTACCTTCCTCTCAGTGTCCACATATAAAATTTAGGGAAGATCTCTGCTGGCCGTTCTTGGGGGGCCATTTTCTCCTTAGGTACCCCAGCAATACAAGGATTGACGGATAATTATCCAAAGGAAAAAGAGGTGCTGTTCTCAGACAAGGAGAAATGATGTTGGGCAGATAAGATGACATGTGTCTCCCGTAGTGAGTGACAATAACTAGGGGCTGGGAAGCTTATTTAATATTTAAAGTTATGCCAACCTAATTCAATAACTTGAGACTTAACACAGCTGTGCAGTGTTTGTGTATCAGCAGTCCCTCATTACAGGAAATTTGGGTCGTATATATGAATTGGCTTGGGATGATGGAGTCTAATGAAGAGAGAGTCATGACAGGGACAACACTGGACAAGGTGTTTCAGAATAAAACCATGAATTCAGAGGTTTAGATTTTATGGAAAAATTCAACCATTTCTGCTTCCTGTGCATCAGCATCTGTTGTTTTTCTTCTGGAACACAAAGTGACTTGCAGAGCCCATATCCATTTGAATAATGTGGGAACAACCACTGTAGCAAGGGCTTAGCTGCCAGGTCGTCTCTGACGTGGCTTGGTAACATTTCTACCACTCTAGAATTTCTGGAAGAGGCCATAGCTTATCGGGGGTCTCCTAGTATTTTCAGAATTGAGAGTTAATTCCTGATAATTCCACACATGGAAAGAGATGATACAGTTATTCAAATTTAATATAAAGACTTATCATTAACTAAATTAAGAATCATTGTGAAAAAATGACAATTCATTTGAGACCATCAGTAATGTAGAAGTTGGCAGGCGAACGCTTTGTGGTGGGCCGTCTTTCTTGCCAATTTGCATGCAAAGAAGTGTCACAGTGGGGTTTGGTTGGGGATAGGAAAATGCTAAATAATACCATGATAAATAATTGACATATCATCTAAATTTTGTAAAGTTTTTCAAATTTGATTTGGAATTTGATTTCAAATCATTATGACTTGCAGACACTATAAATGTTAGAAGCCAATTTAAAAAATTATGTTGTACTGAAATTGCTTGTTTTAAGAAGTAAAAATACTGTTTTTAATTAGAAAGACATGGTCTCAATTGTATTTTATGCCCCTGTTCTAAGGCCAGTCTCTTACGTAAGCTTCTTTTTTTGTTTGTTTGTTTGACACAGAGTTTTACTCTTGTTGACCAGGCTGGAGTGCAGTTGTGAGACCTGGGCTCACTGCAACCTCTGCCTCCCGAGTTCAAGCGATTCCCCTGTCTCAGCTTCCCAAGTAGCTGGAATTACAGGTGCTCGCCACCATGCCCAGCTATTTTTGTATTTTTAGTAGAGACAGGGCTTCACCATGTTAGCCAGTCTGTTCTTGAACTCCCGACCTCAGATGATCCACCTGCCTTGGCCTCCCAAGGTTCTCGGATTACAGGCATGAGCCACCACACCTAGCCTTAGGTAAGCTTCTGATAGTTCACTGCTGGCCCTTTTTATGGGTACACTGCCTTTTGGTGGCGAAGATGCTTTGCAGGGACATGGCACTTTTATTAGTCCTCTTCAGACTTGAATTAAGCAGAAGCTCGTGGTGTATTTCTGATCCAAACTCAAGGAATCTAACTGAAGTGCTTCCCACTTGATATGTGTATCTTGAGAATCATATCAGATATTAATAACATCCCTTGCTTAAAAGGTTTGTAAGCTGTGCCCTTCTTCCAACATCTGTGTTCCATACTCCACTTTTGTATTTTCCCCAATGGTCTACCCATAGCTTTTAGTTCTTAGAATAAATATTTGGGAAACCTGTCATATTTATGTTCTCTTCCCTGCCTTACATTTTCCATGCATGGATATCCCCAAAATTTTGAAAGGAAGAAGTACAAGAGATAAATTTTTTTCAATAACCACACTCTTCAAAGCCAGAAATTATAGGAGAGATGTACTTGTCTGTCCTTGCACTGCTATCAAGAAATACCTGAGGTTGGGTAATTTATAAAGAAAAGAGGTTTAATTGGCTCATGGTTCTGTAGGCTGTACAAGAAGCATGGCTGGGGAGGCCTCAGGAAACTTATAATCATGGCAGAAGGCAAAGGGGAAGCCAGCACGTCCTACATGGCTGGAGCAGGAGGAAGAGAGAGAAGGGGGAGATGCTACATACTTTTAAACAACAAGTTCTCCTGAGAACTCACTACTATCATGAGAACAGCAAGGGGGAAATTTGCCCCCATTATCCAATCACCTCCCACCAGTCCCCTCTTCCAACAATGGGGATTTACACTTAGACGTGAGATTTGGGTGGGGACACAAATCAAAACCATATCAAGAAATATGCTCTGGCTCCTCTGAACTATTCCTCTGATTTCTGGAAATTACTTTCTTGGAGATTCTATCCGATATTGACTTTTGGGAAGGAAGGTAAAGAAACATTTACATGTCCCCAAAAATATCTTCTCAGTGACTTTTCTGTTGATTCATTGTGGCTCAATTATGAGCTATTGAATAAACTCTGTGCCCCCAAAGTGCCAGGTGCCGAGGGTACAAAGATGCAGAAGATGCAGTTCCTGCTTTCTAGAACATCATAATATATAAAATCAGAATTAAGGGAAGAGGCCAAGAGAACCAGCATCTACTGGCTGTGTGGTTGCAGAGAGACATTCTCCCAAGTGCTCTCATATGTATTACCTCCTATCAATTTCAGAACCACCTATGACCTTTGGCATTACTGTCCTCATCTTGGAGGCTCAGAGATATTAAACACGCATCCAAATCATACAACTAGGATGTTGTGAATCAGGATTCAAGTCAAGATTTGATCCCATGCTTATTTTTCCTATATTATGTGACTCTTTCCTCCAGTACTGTTCAGTATCCTATAATTCAATCTTAGGAACTGCATTTCTGTTTCACTGCTAACAGTGGTTGGAAGAACATGCTTCTTTAGAGCCTAAAAACTGACCAGTTCTTGGAGGCTGTGAATCTCAACTCTCATATGAACTTCTGGGAATGGAATTCATTGAAAGCTTACTATTTCTGAAGGAAAATTATAATGATAGCACGAACACATGTTGTGGCTTTTAGCAAAATATCTTTTTAAAGGAGATTATGGGGACCTCGAAAGAGCTTATTGGGCAAAAAAAAATAGGTTTTTACAAGGTAACATTCAGAAGCATTAAGGAATCAGGAATTAAGGACATAGGTGTTTGAAAATATTTCTAACACGTTCCATAAATCTTAAATCACATCTGGATTTGCCCGGCATTATCAACAGACTCTTTATTCAAGCTCAGTTTATCCAATAGATTTTGTCAAATTAAAGAACTCAATCACATGCTATAGAATTAACATTATAGCAACTATCCCTAAATTTAGTAGGCGAACACTGATCTAGTACAGTATTTCAAAGTGTTCCTATAAGGCAGTGTTTGACTTGAATACAGATTAATCAGTGATTTGTGTTAGTAAACACAAACCTAACATTCATTATTTAAACACACAGGAATAATTGTATGAATACAAGTACGTAGCATGATGGGCAATTGGGCTATTACATGAATAATATATTAGTTAGCATTTAGTTTTATTTATCGTTCAGGCCTGGGGTGCTGGTCTGCCTCTCTGGGTCCAGCCTGCAGCTGGCACAGAGCCACAGCTGCCACAGAGTCAATGAAAAGGGTGTCAAGGCTGCAGGATGGAGCCTGTGTTTGTTTAAGAAGGAGCCTGATGACATCACGTCGGCCTCCTGCTCCAGAAGGCTCAGGAGCTGTGAAACGGCACAGCCTCCTAGCCCAGTTGTTGCAGACCTCCGGCAGGGATTTCTGTCTTCAGGTCAGGTTTCAAGGTGAACCAGGTTGGAACATTCAAGGAGAGACTTGGGACATTATAGATTTTTATACTGCCCGAATTGGCTGATTAGCCCCATACGTGGTATTTGATTAATGTCTGAGAGCTCTAATTAGCAATGTCTAATAGGCTCCACATACACCGGGATATCGATTCTTGCCTCCACAAAACTAATCTAATTGTGCTCCTTATCATTAGCAAGTGGTTGGTGTACGGAGATGATGAACCCACCTGGATACTGGAAAAGCCGCCCCGTTAAGGCAGCTTTGGAAAAGGGTAGAGCGGTTTCTGGAGGTAGGTCCAGAAGTGACCTTCCAAAGGCATCAGGAAAAGCACCACGTTTTAGCTCCTCAAGCCTGTTTGGCTTTTCTGAGGGGGAAGAGCCACAGATATCCAGAAGAAGTTTTTCTTTTTAACTTTCCCAGAAGGGGAAAATAGGCATAGGAATCCAATACATCATTTGGACCAGAGAGAAGAAAAAGGAAAACAAAGTTTGCCGACATCTCTTGTCTTCTGGAGCGCTTCTCTGATCATCTGTGCCCACCTTCCTGCTACACTCAAAGGATGGCATTTACACTATGTGATGAAGACGCCTCCACTACTCCCTTTGGTGGCTCCTTGTTTTTCAGGGATTGTAATGCAAAATATACTCCTCCCCCACAAAAGTAATAATATTAATAATATTGGCATAACACTAAAAAATAAACACAAAGATAATATACCTCGACTTACGTGGATTTTTATTTTCTGTGGTAACAACTGCAAACTCATGCTTTTGTTATAAATAAAGTTTCGGTGCTACAAAAGAAATAGCACTTGAATATAAAATTTTCTTTTTAATTCTCAGCAAGGCAAGTTACTTCTATAGAAGGGTGCGCTCTTACAGATGGAGCAATGGTGAGCACACACTTGGATAAAGGAGAGGAAGGGTTTCTTATCCCTGATGCAATTGACCTCTGCTTCTGTGTCGTTCCCCTATTGGCTAGGGTTAGACCACACAGGCTAAACTAATTCCGATTGACTAATTTAAAGAGAGTGACGGGGTGAGTGGTTTGGCGGGAAAAACGGTTATGACACAGCAGGTAATCAGAATGAGTCAGGGTGGAGCAGGTAATCGAAAAAGGTTGCTTTATGAGGAAGTTAAGTTTAAAAGTAGAAGGCAAAGAATTGAACATACTGACATAATGATTCTTGAAAAGAAATTTAGAACTTTAACACGTTCATGGCACTCTGAAGTCAAAAGCACCATCTGGTAAAGATGGTCTCCTTCATTTCTCTACCCATAGTACTAGTCTTAATTTTTCTGAAAATACTAAAATCTAAAATTTGATCACCTGGAAATTTTCCTGGGAGAAACCCAAATGGGTTCATGCTTTCAGCCACAGGGGAAGAATCCTCCATAGCCCTGTCTGCTTAGTGCCACCTTCTAGTGAGTATTACTCTACGATACCTTTGTGCCATCTTTCCTCTTAGCAGCTATTTTTGTGAGAGCACTTCTCATACTGTATTGTAATTATTTATCTGTCTGCCTCTTTTATTATACTGGAAAGTCCTTGAGGGTAGAGGCTCTTGAATTCATTGGTGAAAAGCACTGGTATGTCTTAGGTACTTGTCACCCAGTGATGAGGTCACATTTCCATTAATACTGCAGATTGTAATGGGTAGGAGCCCCATGTCATTGGTAGCAGCCTCAATCAGCCCCTGGTGTCGACTGGCCTCTCTACTGCTCTTGGAGCATCTCATGGCGTCTCATGTTCATGGAGCTCGGTTGAGGTTAAGCCTGTGCTGGGGACCCCCCTCCACCTCCCCACCTCTCCTTCCTCAGAATCCACATTGAGTTCCTGCTGCTGTCTCCCAACAGGTCCAGGACTACCCACTTCCCTTGGAATGGTGTTGCCATCACTGTTCTGGCACCGGAGGTAAGGTGGTGTGGCTTTCCTTCACCCAAAAGAAGACATTATGGCAGGAGTGGGGGAGAGTGGGATGAAATGGAACGAGTTTGGGAAGTGAGGTGGGCACTAGATTATGCAGAAGCTTGTGGACATGGTGAGGAGTTTGGTTTTTATTCCTAAGGCAGCAGGAGATATTAAGTAAAAGAGGCCATGATTTGATAAAACTGATTTAAAAGTTTACTCCGACTGCTGAAAACATAGTGGAGTAATCCACCAATATAATAAGTAGAGACACCCATAGGCTATTGCAACAGCCCAGGCAATATAATGGTAGCTTATACAATGGTGTTAGAAGCAGAGACGAGAAGAAGTGGATGTGTATTGGAGATAAAACCAATGCAACTTCCTGATCTGTTACGAATGAGGAAGAAAAGGAAGGAATTCATTTGACTTCCAGCGTTTAGTTGAGCAAATGAGTGGTTAAAGGCACCATTTCCTTAGAAGGGGAATATTGGTGGAGGAATAGAGTTTGGGACAAATCAAGAGTTCCTCTTTGGTGTTTAATTTGAGAGACCTATTGGGTAGTCAAGTGGCCATGCCAAGAAGGCAGTTGGACATGCAGGTATTGAGTTCAAGGAAAAACTGAGGGCCAGAGATATAAATTTGGGCATCATCAAAATATAGATGGTATTTAGAGCCCCGACAATGGATAAGATAGCAGAGAGAGAGTGAGGCTATAGAAGAGAGAAAGATCCACAACCAGGTCCTGAGAGAAGTGAACTTGGGTGGAGAATGAAGGTTGGAAAAGAAGTTTGAACAAGAGCATCAAGCGATATAGGAGGAAAACCAAAAAACAGCAGCAACTTAGAACCCAAGAGGGGAGAGAATTTCAAGATGGGGTGAGTAGTCAAGCGGAATGCAGGAAGCCTGAATAAGGAGAGTAATGCTCACTGGTTTCCTCTTCAGCCCAGCCTGAGGTTATTTCCCATGTCCACATTTCGCCATCCAAGACAGTGGAAATAACCTCAACAGGGTAAGCACATTAGAACACAGTATTCTAACATTAATAGATTTCCCAAGGGGTATTTTATTTGTTCTTAAATAACACAGTGTGCAGGACACCCACATCCTAGTACAGCCTGAACCACAAAGAGCCCTGTTTACAGTTCTCCTTTTATCCTAAAGTTAGGATGACTCCTGAATGTCTGTCTCTCTTCAAGAGAAACAAAGGTTTACTGGTACAGGGTACCCTAGATCTACATAGAGAAAAGGCATAGTCTTGCCACACATTCTCTAGAAAGATAAGCAGGATGACAACAACAACAACAACAAAAAATTACCAAAAGCTTTGGCTCAACCACAGGTAAAAATTTACAATTCGAGAAGGCTTTTGTTCTCATTCTAAAACAGCATTACTGTCACTTCACAGCTTTGGCTCTGAATAACGGTGGGTGTTTGCTTTGCATTTGGGTAATTAAAGAGCCCACCCAGTTGTTTATCCCAAGCATGGGAATAATCTGACCCAAAGGTGACTGAATTCAGGTCTGTAATTCTTTTGCTAAGTTTCGAAATGAGAGTTTTTGTACCTTTAAGCTAAGTTATTTTCTCAAGGCCTAGGATAAGGCCCTGAGTCCATTATGTGACCAGTTACTATTTGTTGCATGAATAGATGAACAAGGAGGCTAAGGGACAAAGTGGAAAAAACACTTCAGTTAGAAAATCTGGATTCTTGGGAAGCTCATTTCTACTTTCTGAACCTTAACATTCTCAAATGTGCCACCTTAAAATCCAAAAGCTTTAAAGTCATATGTTGAAAAAGCACAGTTCAACAGGCAAAAATAATTAAAACAGATTCTATTAATTTCTCACATCTCACAAATGAAATTAAAGGAGATGCAAATAAATCGCCCATAGAACACATTAAATTTCTCTTCCCTCATACCCCACTGTTGCTTTCATATCTCTCTCTCTCCTTAACACCCTCCTAACTGTAGTTGATGAGACTTTATTATACTCCAACTTGCCTACCTTAGCATTTCAACCTGTGTCCCTTTCCAGAAAGGATTCTACATCGTTAGGAGAAAAGAAAAAGGAGAATTTGGGCTTGCACTGAGAGGATTACCTTTGGTGGTCTGGAAGTGGTGGTAAGTCCTGGACAATTCTCACATTAATCGTTTTTGCCTGTTTAAAATGGGAAAAATAATGCCTACTTTATAGGACTGCTAGGAGGCTTAAGTAAGTATGTGTGCTTGTAAACTCTCCACAGATGCATGCTGTCATTATGATCTTTGCTGCACAAGCATTATTTAACGTCCTCAGTGTGATTTTTTAAATTTCACTCTCACAAAAGATAGGTTTCCTCTTCATAATAAACATGCGTCTACTTCCCTTTTTGAACGTAAGATCCCAAACAAAAAGGAAATTGATGTCCTTATAAAAAGGAGCCAATGCAAGAAGCATCTAGAAGTAACTTTAGATGCAGTGTCAAGAAGTTTATTAGTGACAGTCATGTACATAGCACAGTGTAGAGTAATGCAAATCTGTGCTTATACCACCCATTTAAAATAATTTTAGTTAGCACATGAATTTGTTGCATATAAGCAGCACCTTTGACAAGTTATTTATTTAAAAGGGTCAGATTCAGGCATTGTTTCTAAAGTAGAACTTCAATGGCAAAATCTGAAAATGTTATTCTTTCAATTAAAAAAAGTGAGTAGGTGTGTGTGTGTGTGCGTTTATCACTGGTTTCATGAGTATTGCTGATTCTCATAATAGACAGATTAGAAAATCTGACCAACTCTGTATTAATTATCTATTGTTGCACAACAGATTACTCTAATACTTAGTTAAAACAACAGACCTTTGTCAGTGTGTGGTTTTTGTGGGTCAGGTACATAAAAGAGGTTCAGCTGAGTGGTTCTTGTTTGGAATCTCTTATGAGTTTTCAGCCATGCTATTAACAGGGGTTTTGATCATCTGAAGGTTTAACTGGGGCTGAAGAGCCTGCCCCCAAGATGAGTCACTCTTGTTTAGTGGTTAGCAGGAAACCCCAGCTCCATGCTGGCTATTGGCAGGAGGCCTCGGTGTTTCACAATGTGTACCTCTCCATAGGATTGCTTGAGTATCTTCGCAACATGGCAACCGGCGTCTCCCACAGGGACTGATCTAAGAAAGAATAAGGAAGAAGCCTCAATGCCTTTTATGTCTTAATCATGAGGTCAAATACCATGCCTTCTTCTATATTCTGTTTGCTAGAAGCAAGTTACTAAGTACAGCCCATACTTAAAGGAAGAAGAATTAGACTCTACTTTTTGAAAGGAGGAGTATCAAATAATTTTTTAACATGTTGCAAAACCAACATAAGTTCTTTGGTATAAATTGCACTTTTCTATTGTTGGTATTCAGAACAAAACATTTTTCACAATTGCAATAGCTACCTATATTATTGGATTCTCAGAATACAGAACATAAATCTCTTTATTGGTTATGAAGAAAATGAATTCAGAGGCATAAGGAGCTTTCTTCAGGTACAGAGAAGTTCAGTGTCCAACTCTAGACTTAGATCTAGAATTCCGATATATAATTTCATATGCAGTCAGATTACATCTAAATAATAATAGCAAAAACAGGGCTCTTCTACTGTACTGTAATTTACTTTTCCAACTTTTGGCTACTTACAAGATCACAAACATCTGGATTTAAATTGGAAACATCTTCTCAAAAATCCAGATGTTTCCAAATATAGGTGTTTTTTTTTTAAGCCATCAAAAACCCCTTGGTGAATGAGTAACTATGCATGTTGAATGGTTATCCCATTAAAAATCTAACTCCCTTTCCCAATTTACGTTATTCTAGGTGGAAAGTTTCTAATGTAATCCAGTGTTAAATTAGGAGTTTGGACTGACTGAGGCAACAAGATATAAGAGATGTCAGATAGCAAAGTGAGGTGAGAGACAGGACATCAAGTCGGAAATTTTGAAAGAAACTCTCCTGAAACCGCACAGCTTCTGTGCCTCTCCTCCAACATTCCTCACCTAGGCTGAGGTTAAGAAGGGGGATGTTAGAGTGAGGCATTTGAATGTTAGAAAAGCAATCCCCCCACCGCAAATAAGGGAACAGCCTCCACACCAGACTGCTTAGAGTTGATAAAAGACCTCTGTAGGCCAAAGGCGCAAGGAACTCGTACCTGGCTCATGACTTATAAGACTTTGCCTATGAGAATTAGAAAACTCATGAAGAGTTCTTGAATTTTCACTAAGAGGCAGTGAAATCATTACTTCCACAGAACAGGTTTAAAGGGATAGCAGAAAATGAAAATAAAGATACTTTTATAACTATCCCTCATGCAGCCTCTATGTTTAACACATGGATCCACTAAAATATATCACAGACATTTTCTGCCTTTTAAACAAAGTATGGTGAGTTATTAAGAAAAGGTTAAGTTATTTTCAGTGTTATCATGACTAATGCAATAATTAAAAAAACCTTGGATTTGAATACTACATTTTCAAAGTAACTCAATACAATGATGTCCCCAAGGCTTATGGAGATCTATGGGGTTATTTACCCCAGACTCATAATTCTTACATGTGTGTTTCCAATTTTCCTGACACATCATTTGGTTTCTATATTTTCCATTGTCACTTTCACTAATTTCTTCATGCTTCTGTATATTATCTCCTCTCTCTTCTTTTAATTGATGTTTGGGAGATAAACTTGTTGGAATTGTGAGTGAAATAAGATTAAATAGTACCATGATCTTTATTTGTTAATTGCTTGCTAACCAACATTCTACACAGAGAAAGGTGCTGGATAACTGACTTATGAATAAGGGAATTCTGACTCAATTTATGTATTAGGTAAAAATTAAAAACCAGAGGTGTGTACATACGAGGTATTCATTGACATTAAGTATTTGATAAGTAATTTTGGCTTCATTTTTAATAGGATTTTTCTTTATGTACTTTTAAATTAGTTAATTAATTCGGCTAGTACATAGTGAGTACCTATTATGTGCCAGATGCTAAGCTGGTATCCATTAATGCTGAATTGGATTAAACTGTTTAGTCAACTGCTTCTATTTGAGTTCATGAGCTCAATCCTAACTGTGCTCTGTAACTTGGGCCAAGAAATGGATTTTCCATGTCTTTTGAGAATGGCAAATCTCTTATGCCACTTAAGAAGATGAAGAGACAATGCATTTAATACCAGATGGGGAATGAATTCTAACCCAACAAATGGCAGAGGATTTGCTGTGAGGCCTGACAGCAATAAAACTCACACTTTACTTTCATATGATGCTTTAGTTTTCCAGATTTCTTTAAGAACTGTCCTTGTATTATACTTCCACAACAGCTTTCTGAAAGGTAAGAGAACTCTGAATTCTGTTACAAGTGAGGCTAAATGTTCTAATTGCCGAGAGCCAATAACCAAGCCAGGGCTAGAGTTGCATCTTTATTCTGTAAAATCCGCCTTTTCTTTCTTAAATCAGGGCTCCAGCCTGGGCTTTGGAGGCTTAATTTCTGCTGGTATAATATTTATTGGGCTGATTTTGATGCAATGCAGATCACATATTTAAAGATATAATTGGACGTCCTTGTAGCCAAGTGGTTTCTCCAGAGCTCGAAATGCACCATCAGTGCCTGTGTTTGGGAACCTATATATTTCTGACCTCTGCTCTACTTCATAAAAGAGTTGAGTTACCAGAAACAGAACTGAAGGCCAAGAGTGGTTTTCATGCATTGAGCCCTTGGCATTGGTTCCTGGTAGCAAACCTCTGCCCTTCATGCAGCAGGAAGCTGAGAGAAAGACCTGCTTCCCAGGGCTAGATGCTTTGGGAGAAGACATTCCTCACCACCAGGTCAGTGTAGAGGCTTCTGCTGAGGCAACAAGGAAGGACTGAGGCTGGAGAAGGTCCAGGGTGTCCTAATTGCCATTGACTTCGAAGTCCTGCTTCCACTGCAGAGTGAAACTATAAGAGGAAAGAGAAATTTCCTACCCTACTGACACTCCCCACTTCCAGAAGCTCGGCTTCTACCTATGGAGCTGTCAGGCTCCCTTTTCTGGTCAGCACTGGGGAAGTCAGTGATGAGCAAGCCATTGAGGCTGAAACACACATTCAGGGTTTGCAGCCAACACCAACGTTTCCCTCATTGCACATATTGTGTTGGGACAATGGTCTGATCAAATGTTTCCTAATTTCATTGTGGACTTCCTCTCTCTAATGAGTCCCTTTCTCCCAGCTCTAAATAAAGAAGATGCTAAAAACGTGACACACACTACAGATGGGTCACCCACATCTGGGCTTTTCATCTTAAAGACGGGGTGGGGGTGGGGAGGACAGTTAAGCAAGACATGGCTGACTTTTCTTATAAAAGGGGTGAGTGGGGAAAGGGGGGGTAGAGAGATGAGGGAATGAGGCCGAATCATCCACCATTGTTACTGAATGACAGACATATCCATTGGGACTAATTATAATAACGATCCCAGTCCATAACTGACTCAGAGCTTGAGTGTCCCTCTCTATGCCACATTCTCAAATGTGGGCACCTGGATTGCACCCATGAAGTTGACATTTACCAGAGAAACCCATGTACAGATTGATATTTGCATGTGAAAACTGGATAATTGTGTGTGTGAGAGCAATAGAGTTTCTGTACACAATTACCAGCCTCTCCTCGAGATGTTGGGAGCAGTTTCTGGTCCTTTGGGAAACTGGCCTGCAATTTGCTGGTGCAGACTGGAGTTCGGGGAGTGTAGGAGACACATTCCCAGGTTTTAGGGAAGAAAGTGTGATGAGTTGAGATGGATGCATTGACCATCTGTGATGCACTCAGCACTGTAACATGGTGTGTAAGACCACAGACTGTGCCATCGGATGGACCTGGATTCCAATTCCAGCTCCACTACAGCTCTCACTAGTGCAAAGTGCAGGAGAGTGTAGTTTCTTTGAGAAGCTATAAATAACTATATGTTTGAGCATTGGGTCTGCATCGTATTGTAGCAGAATCACGTAGGTCTCTGTATTAGGCAAGGTTCTCTAGAGGGACGGAACTAATAGGATAGATGTATATATGAGGGGGAGTTTATTAAGGAGTATTTACTCACATGATCACAAGGTCAAGTCCCACGATAGACTGTCTGCAAGCTGAGAAGCCAGTGGTGGATCAGTCCGAGTCCCAAAACCTCAAAAGTAGGGAAACCGACAGTGCAGCCTTCAGTCTATGGCCAAAGGCCTGAGAGCCCCTGGCCAGCCACTGGTGTAAGTCCAACAGTCCAAAAACTGAAGAACTTGGAGTCCAATGTTCATAGGCAGGAAGCATCCAGCACAGGAGAAAGGTGAAGGCCAGAAGACTCAGCAAGTCTGCTCTTCCATCTTCTGCTTGCTTTATTCTAGCCAAGCTGGCAGCTGATTAGATGATAACCACTCAGATTGAGGGTGGATCTGCCTCTCCCATTTCACTGACTCAAATGTTAATCTCCTTTGGTCACACCCTCACAGACACACCCAGGAACAATACTTCGCATCCTTCAATCCAATCAAGTTGATGCTCAGTATTAACCATTACAGTCTCCAAGGGAACAGAGTTGGCACAGTGAGGTTAAGTCTTTGGCAGAACAAGATTTGAACCAAGACTGTCCCTTTTAATTGTCCTGCATTTAGCCATCTCACATGGGTGTTCAGTGAGCACTTGGTGAGTAATGGGACTCCAAGCACAAAGATGTTCATCATTCTTCTGTGTGTGAGTTTTCCTCTTCAGTTTGTGAGCCACACTGGGTCCTGTAAAGAAGGAATCTTCAAGCCCAGTTTTAGGGATGCAGGTAATTTCCACAGCCAGTGCTTCCTGTGGTCAGTATTGAGGATCACAAAAGCCACAAGATGCCACAAGGAGTCTGTCAATTTTCTTTTTGTGTGTGTGTGTGTCGTCCAACCTGGAGTGCAGTGGCGCGATCCCGGGTCACTGCAAGCTCCACCTCCCGGGTTCATGCCATTCTCCTGTCTCAGCCTCCAGAGCAGCTGGGACTACAGGCACCTGCCACCAAGCCCAGCTAATTTTTTGTATTTTTAGTAGAGACGGGGTTTCACCATGTTAGCCAGGATGGTCTCTATCTCCTGACCTCAGGTGATCTGCCTGCCTCGGCCTCCCAAAGTGCTGGGATTACAGGCGTGAGCCACCGTGCCTGGCCAGGAGTCTCTCAATTTTCTACCCCTGGCTTTACTGTATCTTTGGCTGAATCCTCTGCCTAGAGTGAACCATGTCTTTCTCTCTTTCTCTTCTGCTCTTCTCTTCCTCAAGCTCAGATGAAGCTGTACCTCTTCTTGGAAAAACAAACCCATGAGAAAGGCACTAATCCTATCGCCACTATATGGATGAGGAAACTGAGTTACAGAGAGATTAAGTAACCAATCCAACATCATAGAGCCAATAAGTAGCAGAGGCAGGATTTGAATACTGACAGATTGGTTCTAAAACCAGTGCTCCTAACCATTATACCATGCAACTGCTCAATTAGAATAGCCGTGTGTGTGTGTGTGTGTGTGTGTGTGTGTGTGTATACTGAGCTGGACCCTCAGTATATACAGTCAGTGAATTTTTAATGAAGAAGAAGGTGAGGAGTTTATTTTGGCCTTGGACAGATCACCAAGTATTCTTGGGTTTAAGGCACATTTTGGTAGTTTTCTAACTTTACCAGCAGAATGTAGTCAACGACTGGGAAGAGTGGGCCTCGGTGGCGTTTTTATGCCACCAACTGGCTTTAAGTGCACCAGCTAAAAGCAGTTTCTTGCTGGAGGAGCTGCAAGAACCAGGGGAAAGTGGCACTATTCGTGCTATGGTGTAAGACATGTTGCAGAGTCACGTGTTCTGTTGCCAATTTTGGAGGAATGCCGTGATGTATTTTCTGTTGCAGCTCTGGGGCTTCTCCTAAACTCCTACTCCAATCCCCAAGGTCTTTTTTTCCCCCTTCTGCAACAGGCTCTAGGAAATCAACACACTTCCCTCTCCCTCAGAAGCTGCCACTGTCCTTTGGGGTTGGTTTCCTTAACACCCTCTGAAGACAAACACAAAACACCTTTTTGTCTTTAAGGCTTTTACTGCTAATCGCAAGGGGAAAACAGAGCATCACAAAAATGGCAATGATGAGAAGCAGTAGATGGTCCAGCATCTTACAAAGTCCATGTTGTCTGGATCCTTTGTAGTTTTAAATTCCTTCTGAAATCATGAAGGAAAGCCTCAAAGATCTTGTGCCCACTTCTGAAGGTTGAACTCGCTTAATCTTCCCACTGTTTTCTGATTTCTCCTTTAGTGAGGTCATAGGAATAATTTTCTTCATGTGACTCCTCTTCCCAGCCTCAACATGTAGTCTCTGGGTATCCAGTAGGTGTTTGACTTCTGTAAAGACTTCCAGAGTGAGTTACTCTGGCTGGTTCAATGCACTGCTCTTTCTCTGGGTCTTTCCCTACACTCACTAAGGTCCCCAAAGGCAGGAACCATTCCCTGTTCTTCTGTCTCCTCTCTTGTTGATGGGTTTATGGCCAAAAGCCTGAGCTTATTGTCTACACAAGCAATGTAGAAATGGTTTATGGCTTGACTTGGGTCTTTATCCCTGAAAGTAATTCTCTGATGGTAAATTTGTACTTTTATACTTGTCATGAATCGAAGGGCCTTCAGGGGAATGTAATTTTTATTTAAAACCATCTAGTAGATGTTGGCAAATACAAAAATAGGAGAGTGGGTTGAGCCAGTCTGCTTGGGTGAATGTCTGCTTGGAAATCGCATACTAGGATATGCTGTATTGAGTAATAAAGTAAAGGCTGTCTGGAGTCAGATAGATGTGGAGGTGCAAGAAGAGGGTGTACAAATGTTCTTAGAGATAGATCTGGAGGTACAAGAAGAAGACGTACAAATGTTCTTACTGTGCTTATACCATTGAATGTACTTTGATGATTTGGTGCCAGAAAAGCAGAGAAACACAACTGCAAAGAAGCAAGAAAGGAGAAAGTAGGATCAGAGGACCTGGGGAAGGGGCAGCCAGACCTGAGAGGCAAAGCTTAGAGATCAGACATCATACTTGGGCTAGGAAAGGCAGCATTTGATGAGGCAAGGGAGCAGGGAATGGCATCTCTAAAGTATGACCTGAGATTGAAAGCACGTCAAGAGAAAGCCAAGAGCCGTGTGAAGCAAGTAAGAAATATCAGCCCCAAGATCTGCTCTCCCTTCAGTATGGGTGGCCTTTTCCTGTTCTCTTGTCTGCACTTTCTCAGGCAGTTGTGAATGATGAGGCCACCCAACAGAAATGATAAGCCCTCGAAACCTCCGTTTTGTTATGCTCTTTTTCCAGCTAAGCAATTTCTTCATGATGTGGGGCAGAGGGTTGGAGCAACGGTTCCCAGCAGACCACCATGAGCTTCTCATGAGAGAAGCTGCCCTGAAAAGATACACGATTGAGAGCAGATGATGATAATCATTATCATCATTTTGGCAAACTTAGAGGAGAACGCATATAGGATACTAAAATCTTATGGTGCTGGCGATGCATTTTATGGGAATCTGGCATTGATTCAGAAGACAGTACTTCTACCCTGAGACTGTTGTAATTTCAACAACTTAAAATACATGCCCACTTTAAGACAATATGTCAAGACTATAGTGAGTGAAATAATAATAATAGCTATTGTAATTTGAATGGGAATTTCTTACCGTAGCCTGATTAGCAGAGGGTCTTTAGTCAAGGACATGCATTAACATCATCTATTGTACGAATGATAATCTACTAATGCAATACTATTAATACAAGAGTCGCTTTGTAGATTTGTCATCATTATGTTATATGTCCAATGAGTGTATGTAAAAACAGTTAAGTATTTCTCCAGTGTCCTTCTCCTTAAAGTAGCCCATATTTTAAGCTCATCCAGCTCTGCTTCACTTGCATGAGCATCTTCCCCAGGCTCCTGGAGAAAGTCTGTTGCTTGGTCTGACATCTCCTGCTTCTCTCCTTGGCCAATCTCCTTTTCAACGTAAAGACCTTATCCCTTATTTCAAGCTCCTGATTAGTTGTCTGTTTCTGTTGGTCTCATGGACCTCACTACCTGTTTTGGATGGATTATCCAGCTCTGAAGGGCTGTCAGACTCTCCTCCCAGAGGACATCCATCTAAGAACCCCTGTTCTTCATCTCAGCACACTTTCTCTTAATACTCTTCTTACTGAATCAAAGAGCTGGGAGCTTCCACCTCAGTGTGGAAGAGCCATAGGCGCCAGACTCCAACCCATGAGCGCAGCTACAGGGGGCTGCAGCCTGGAATGCCCTAGGGGCAGAGCCTACCTCTTGCACCAGGTTGCAGGACATGGAGTCAAAAGAGATGGTTTTGGAGCTTTAAGATTTAATGACTGCCCTGTTGGGTTTCAGACTTGTGTGGGGCTTATTGTCCCTTTCTTTTGGCCAATTTTCCCCTTTTGGAATGGGAATGATACCCATTCCCTGCACCATCATTATATCTTGGGAGTAAATGACTTGTTTTTGAACTCACAGGCTCATAGGTAGAAGGAACTTATCTCCAATTGAGACTTCAGACTTGAAACTTTTGAGTTAATGCTGAAACGGGTTAAGACTTTGGGGGACTATTGTGAAGGCATGATTGTCTTTTGAAATGTGAGAAGGACATGGGATTTGGGGGGCCAGGGGTGGAATGATATGGTTTGGATGTTTGTCCTCTCACAATTTCATGTTGAAACGTGATTCACAATGTTGGAGGTTGGATTATGGCAATGTATTCCTCACGAATAGCTTAGCCCCATCCCCTTGGTGATGAGTGAGTTCTTGCTCAGTTAGCTTATATGAGAGCTAGATGCTTAATGAGCCCAATTCTTCCTGCACTCTCTCTTGCTCGTTTTTGCCATGTCATACACCTGCTCCCCCTTCACCTCTCACCATTGATTGTAAGCTTCCTTAGGCCTCACTAGAAACTGAGCAGTTGCTGGCACCATGTTTGTACAGCCTGTAGAACCATGAGCCAACTAATCCTCTTTTCTTTATAAGTTACCTAGGTAGTTACCAGGATTTTTTTTTTTTTTCGAAGTCTCAGTCTTGTCCCCCAGGCTGGAGCGTGATGGCGCGATCTTGGCTCATTGCAACCTCCGCCTCCGGGGCTCAAGCGATTCTCCTGCCTCAGCCTCCTGAGTAGCTGGGATTACAGGCACCTACCACCACACCCGGCTAATTTTTGTATTTTTAGTAGAGACAGGGTTCCACCATGTTGGCCAGGCTGGTCTCGAACTCCTGACCTCAGGTGATCTGCCCGCCTCGGCCTCCCAACGTGCTGGGATTACAGTCGTGAGCCACTGCGCCTGGCCCAGGTATTTCTTTATAGCAATGCAAAAACAGACTAATACAGAGGCCGTTAAGCTGCCTGCCACAGCTATGTAAATAGTGCTCACTACATGATATTATAGTGCATGTTATAGGGAGTCATGATTATATTTCTTTTCTATACAACTTTTTATTTTCTTTGGACCTAATATTTGCCTCTTTTTTTCTATTTGCTTGTGTTTTACATGTATCTATTATTAATTCATCCTTAAACCATCTGATACAGCTGACAATCTTAATTCCTAAACATGCCAACTATTCTTTTAGTTCCATCTCTCTTTTCTTGGCATCATTCCTCAAGAGCTCTCTGTCTTTCTTCTCCAATTTGGGTTTTGCCTTTTTGGGGTGCAGCATAGGTGTTTTCTTGTGGTTTCTCTTCACTACCATCCTGATTTTTTTCTCTCTCTCTTCTGTTTTAGACTCTCTGTTTCCAGGATCCCATGTCTTTGTTGTTGTTGTTGTTGTTGTTTATTCTCCCATTTAACCGACTCACATCAACATCTTTCTACCAGTTCTCCTGTTATCCTGGCCTCCTGTGTGATCTGTAACCCAAACACCTGGGTTTTTCCAGGAATCTTCAAGGAACAAGATCTTGTATTTGTGGCTTTGTCTGGGGCAGGTTTAAATTTCAACACTCCCTGGTCTGCTAACTCAGCCGCAATTCACCTCTCTTCCAGCTCTCAGCTTTTGTTGATATCAATTGTGTACTGTCATCTCTCAAAGTCTCTTTGGCCGTGTAGGCTTGAGCCGCTTTTTATATCTTGCTGATATTTTAGTG
This sequence comes from Homo sapiens, assembly GCF_000001405.40. NCBI lineage: Eukaryota > Metazoa > Chordata > Mammalia > Primates > Hominidae > Homo > Homo sapiens. Next base: position 14,586,512 of record NC_000006.12, on the reverse strand, counting down.
AGATTTCAGCAGGGAGAGAAGAATGGGTGTGTGGACACCTCTGTGCTGGGAACTGATTACTTGGCTTCCACACTTGGTTCAGCTCTTCCACTGAAGGCATGGGATTGTTTATTTTTCCCACAGATATTTTTGAAATATTCTAAAATGGAAGCTATTGCACTAACTGCCACTACATTATTTATTTTGTCATGTAGTAGGGTATCTGCTGAGATGGCCAGACCCCATTGCTCTATTTTTTTAATAGTATAATTTCTTTTTTGCTTTGCTTCAAAGACTCTAAATTATTTTAATAGGTTTATATATTTTTCTTTTCCTCTTGAATTAAGACAGAAGTAATTTTTCCAATGACTCTGTTATCTCAGTTTTGTATTAAACCTCTCCAGCTTCACTTAGTGGCTCCAGCAGGACAATCTAAGGTGTGTAATAGGAATGTCTCAGTCTCACTTGCCCACTCATACAAATGAAACCATGGTTATAAAAATACTCTTGCTGGCTGCAGAAAACTAAACTGCATCCAGGATTCTTTTCTCAATTTTTTTCCATGAATCCCTAGGGATATTAACATGTGTCCAGAAATCAGTTGTGGTCATTTATGACTTCACTGCTGGCTAAGCCAGGACCACACAGTAGTCCCATGCTGGAAATTTCTGCAGGGTTCACTCTGTAGTGAGAACATTGCTGGTACTGCTGGAGGTACCATTTTCCATGAAAACAGGCTCCTCCTCTCTCTGACACAGAGGAACTAGGCATCTCTAGCCTCAGCGTCAGTCACCCTTGCAGGTGACAGACAAGCTCCAGTGTTGGGTGCTTGGGAGTGGAGATTCTCAGGCTTTCTATGTTATGACTTGCCTCTTAACCCTGGCATGGCTGAGCTTTGGTCTTCCAGCTCAAACCCTAATAGATCTTCAGGGATGGGGTTCCCATCAAGCAGCAACCTCCACTCACTTGCAGTAGGTCTTTGTTAATCCATCCATGAGATATCTCCATGGTAAGAGGAAGGATATTCTCACCCAGCTTTACTGCCTGGACCCAGTGTAATCTGGCTCTATCAACTCAACATACTCTCACCACAGCATCCATCCTCCTTAAAACTTCCACCCTTTCCTGGGAATTCTCTCTCTCATTCATTAGGCATGCTTCTATATCCTAGAAACCCAAGGGGTATTAGAGTTCAATCCACCTTTTCCTCCATGAGCTCCTCAGTTCTTATGTGGATTTAAGTACAAATAGACTCAGGGGAGAATCCACCTTTCCTAGCCCTCTGTCCCAACTCTTCTGGCCAGCCATGTCTACTGCACAGTGTAACAGAATAGCTGAAGGGAAATTTTGTTTAAGACAGTAATCTCCAAAGTGAGTTTCACAAGTGGTATGGGAAGGAAAAAATATATAATTTCTATTTATTTATTTATTTATTTATTTATTCATTCATTCAGAGACAGAGTCTCATACCGTTGCCTGGGCTGGAGAGCAATGGCGCGATCTCGGCTCACTGCAACCTCCGCCTCCCGGGTTCAAGCGATTCTCCTGCCTCAGCCTCCCGAGTAGCTGGGATTACAGGTGTCTGCCACCACGCCTGGCTAATTTTTTTGTATTTTTAGTAGAGACAGGGTTTCACTATGTTGGCCAGGCTGGTCTCAAATTCCTGACCTCGCGATCGGCCTCCCAAAGTGTTGAGATTACAGGCGTGAGCCACTGCACCCAGCCAATTTCTATTTATTTTTTAATTGCATGCTTTAAAAAAATTTGCATTCATGTTTTACGTGCATGTGTAAACATTACAATCTATGGTCAAACATTTTTTCTGAGTGGAGTACAGTCTTGTAACAGTAGGTAATCCAGCAGTGTCCACAAGATGGACCTGTGGGGCCCCAGACACCCATTGTGTTCGTGTATTTAATAATTTCACTTGAAGGCTCACTGTTATAGTGTTTCTGTGTGGATATCAAGACTGCTTACTCGTTTTTACTTATCATTAGGGTGACGAAGGTTTTTGCTTTCCAGTCTCAGGAAATTCACACAATATTTGCCTACCAAGGCTTTTAGGTTCATAAAGCAACATTAAAATATAAAATAAATCGTATTGAACTTCTGGTATTACTACTGTTATTACCTAAATTTTGTCACCTGTGGTGAGATACATTTTCAATCTTTTTTCCACTTGTGAACCAAATGCTCCCTTTAGGTTTCTTTACAATTGCTATGTGGCTAATTGCTTTCAGCTACAGAAAGCCTAGATATGTATGGGTTTCTCTTTGAATTAGGCCTTCAAAAATTTGAAACAAAAAAAATTGACAAACGAATCTATTTACCACAGCAAACTGAACTGCATATATTCCTATTAAGGTCCATTTATGCATTGCTGGTAGACGTTGCTGACTTCCCAGACTTTGGGACTGGCTTATCCAGATGGACTCACGTGAGGCCACGTTGAAGAAGGGTAGCAAATCACTCAATGGCATAAACACTGAGCTGCAATATTCGTGTGGCAAGAGGGCATGTGTGGAGAGCATGGGCCGGGTCTGACTTGCTAGTTGCATAGTCTCTAAGGCCAGTGACTCAGGTGCCATAGAGCACTGCATCTGGGATTTATGCTGTCTCGAAGTCATGTGTTTCATTCCTTACTCCATATCCACGGCCATCGCCAGCCTCCAAGAGGACCCCTGGTGATCCCCACCTCCTGATTTTCATACCTGTATGGACTCTTCCCACATTGGACAAGGGGTGGTCTGTGTGACCAATAAAATATGGCAAAAATGATTGCATGTCACTTCCAAGATGAGGTTATGAAAGACACTGTAGCTTTTGTCTTGGTCACTTTCCTTCATTCTCTTTCTCTCTTGGATCATTTGATTCTGGGGAACTGAGATACCGTGTCATGAGCAGCCTTGTGGTAGGCCCTGTGCTAAGTGCTGGGTATACAGGGAGTGCACCATAATTGTGCCTGTGAATAGCCACTGCTCTCCAGCCTGGGCAACATAGTGAGACTCTGTCTCTAAAAATTTTTTTTTAAATTAAAAAAAATTTTTAAAAATAGAGAAAAAGGAGATGTTGACAAGATAAATAATGTGGGAAACTTAATAGGCAGAAGTATCTGAAATTCAACTAGAAGAAGGAACAGAACTTGTATTGATATTCTGGGGCCATACATAGCTCCAAGAAGAATTGCTGAGTAGAAAGATACCTGCTAGAGGAGTAAGTTGCTTTATGATCAACTCATGTATTCATTTTTTCATCCAATAATTTCTATTGAGTATCTGTTGTGCATTAATCACTGGGGTAAGTCAGAGGTAGCTCTAACCTTCATAAAGCTTAATTGTACAGAGAGAGAGAGAGATACTAATTGTACAAAGAGAATTAAATCGCTATTAAAAAATTATACTTAAATAAAAAGTTTCCTTTAAATACTGGGTATACAGAGTTAAGATACATTCCCATTTAAAAAAAAGTATTCAGTTTTTCAGAGGAGACAGCAATGTTCTCAAGCAGTGCAGTGCACCATAGTACGTGCAACAGCAGAAGAGTGCATAAATCTTCCCTGGAGCTTCAAGGAAACCATGCTTGTCTCAGCTTTGGTTCATTGAAGAATTGCCTTTTAAACTGGAGAGGAAAAAAAATAGATGCCTTGAGGCAAATGGGGAGGTGGAGAGGGGAAAGGAGTCTTTTCAGGCAGACAACTACAGATGTAAGGGCAGGAAATTGAGTTCTATATGAATTTAATGGGAAAAAAAAAGGAACTTAGAACTTTCTCTCATGGACCCCAATGGAAATATAAAAGATGTGTAAGAGAAAATGTCTGTCCTCTAAAATCTTATGCCTTCCCAAGATTTGAAGCCATAAGAGATCCCTTGAAACTCTGAGAATGCTTGAACCTGATGCTGTCCAATATGGCAGCCACTAGACCTATGTGGCTATTTGCTTCTTGAAATGTGGCTGGTTTGAATCAAATGTGCTGTTAAGTCTAAAATACCAAAATTTGGAGATGTCACAAAAAAGGTAAATTATCTCATTAATAATTTTGCATTGATTACACATTGAAATGATGTTTTTGGTATATTGAGTTACATAGAGCACATTGTTAAAATCTATTTTATCTCTTTCCTTTCAGTCTTCTCAAAGGGACTGCTACTAAGTTTAAAATGCTATCTGTGGTCTGCCTTGTGGCTGGCATTGTGTCCCTTGCGGACAGTGCTGGTTTATAAGCTGCTGTGGCAATGGCCCAAGAGAGCCTCTGGCACCAGCATTGTGGATGGGAAAGAAGGAAGAGGGCCCAGACATATTGAGAGGACCACAACCCATGTGCTTTCCTCGACACTCACTTGGTGCTGAGGGGGTCTAGTGTAGGGCCTGGGGAAAGCTGAGCTGGAGAAGAGGTGGTATTGGGTTCAGATTCAGAGATGGGTGCTGTGTGCAGGCAGCCCTCTGACATGGGTGCTGACACCCATTCCTGGTGACTGGTGCAAGATAATGCATTCACTCCACACCCTCCCACCACATCGGAAGCTTTTTAGTTCAGAATTCTTTGGAACATTTGCTTCCCTTTTGCTTCTAATATTATAGCATGGGTGGAAGAAAAGAGAAGGGGCTGTGCTCTTAGAAAGGGAAGGGATACTTGGCAATAGAGGAGAAGCCTATCTAATGTCTTTAGAGGAATTGAGTCTGGTTCTGGACACATTCCATTTGCTCTGCTGGAAGGTCTGAGAGTCTAACAAGTCTCTATCAGGCTGCATGATTTGGGGTCTTCATTGGGTATATGTTGGGGCAACCCATATCTTATTTTCTTGACTTGTAAAGGCTTGGAACTAGGCTTTATTGGGCTGAAAAAGGAAATAGGAATTTCCTGGGTCTAAAGACTTCATGTATTGACCCGTAATTGGAGGGACTGACCAGATCAATTGCTGGAGGTCATCTGAGTTGTTGACCAGGCTCTGAAATGGGGTGCTGATTCTATTTTAGTCTCTCTTACAAATTGCTGTGCGACCTTGCCAAAGATAGCAGCATCTCTCTGTCTTTATATCCTATTGGTTAATCAATTTCTGGATCTGAATAGCCAGGGTGCTCTGTAGATTTACTTTAAAACATTTTTTAAGTACACCATCAATAAGAACATCGTGCTTTTTTAGGTAGAAAGCACTTTGGAGGAGAATTATTGATTGTGTTCCAGGACCTCTGAGTGGAACTGTAGTATTAATAGAAGAGAACATTGCCCAATTCTGGGAATGTTGAAGCAGGTGGAAATGAACTGGGGGAACAGCATCTTCCGTGCCCCCTTCAGGTTACTCCAGACAGTTAAGGCATATGTAGTCTGAACTATCGCCACACAGCAGACCCAGGCTGGCTAGCCCTCCTAATCAAAGACTTCGTGTAGAGTTTTAGGGAATAACTTTGTTTTAGTTTGTTAGGTTGCCATAACAAAGTACCACAAATTGGGTGGCTTAAACAGCAGAAGTGTATTCTTGCATAGTTCTGGAGGCTGGAAGTCTGAGATCAGGGTGTTAGGAGGGTCGGTTTCTTCTGAGCGTTTTGAGCGTGACTCTATTTCATGTTTCTCTCCCTAGCTTTTGGTGGTTTGCTGGTAATCTTTGGCATTCCTTGGCTTGCAGGCTCATCATCTAGATCTCTGCCTTCATTTTCACATGATGTTCTCTCTGTGTGCATGTCTGTGTCTAAATTTCTCCTTATAAGGACACCAGTTGTATTGGATAAGAGCCCACTCTAAATCATTGTAACTTGATTACTTTTTGTTTCATGGTGGGCAGGTCTATGCAACCCTACTCCCAAAGTCCAAGGAAGCTAAGAGGCTAAAAAAAGAGGCTGACAAATCCAGTTTCTTAGAAAGAACTGGGACTTATGAACAGAAGCCATGTCTGGGTTTCAGGGGATGGCGAGACAAGATGGTGGACCGCTGCACCATTATCCCCCAGACCCAGGGCTTGTAGACCATAAAAAAAGGGGTGGTTCAGAACGGATTTGTGGGACAATTGAAGTATGATAACATCAAGGTTGTCTTACCTAAGGGCAAGATTTACAGTAAGTACCTAAGTTTACGCAGGAAACAATAGATGAACTGGAAATCTTAGAGACCTTCCTGGAACTGTGGTTAATCAGAATCCAACATGGCTGATTAGCATCCAAGATGGAGTCACTTAAACCTCCACACTTCTGTAAAGAACTTGTCTCCAATCATCTTACATTCTAAGGAACTGGGGATTAGGACTTCAATACATAAACAACATAAACTTGGGGGAAAAACAATTTGACCCATAACAAACTCCATTCAAGGAAAGTATTGATATCTTTTGCCTTATGTTATTTTTATATATACCAAGTGGGCCTATTGAGTAACCTCCCCTTGTTGATGGATCCATGTGAACTGGTGTTACTTTTCTATAACTGCTATGTTTGTTTTCTTTTAAACATCTTTTACTCTCTAGGTCCTCATTCCTTGAGCATATCCTACGCTGATTCCATAACTTTTCACTCATTTGGTTGTTATGATTCTGATCCATTCTTCCCTAAAGGGGAAAGAATAACAAAGAAGAGGCTTTGTTTCTAGTGGTATAGCTGGTATGATGGATACTGTACAGGACCCTCCCAAATCAAACAACTAAAATACTATTTCTTTAAAGATATAAACACCTTTTTCTTTTTTTTTTTTCGAGATGGAGTCTCGCTCTGTCGCCCAGGCTGGAGTGCAGTGGTGTGATCTCGGCCCCCACGCCTGGCTAATTTTTTGTATTTTTAGTACAGATGGGGTTTCACCATGTTAGCCAGGATGGTCTCGATCTCCTGACCTTGTGATCCACCTGCCGTGGCCTCCCAAAAGTGCTGGGATTACAGGTATAAGCCACAGCGCCAGGCCATAAACGCCTTTTTAAATACACTACTGAGCTGAAATGAAAGTAAGACACCATCAGAGTTTTTCTTTTCCAATACACTTTTTATTTTGGAATAATTTTAGATCTACAGAAAAGTTGCAAAGATAGCACAGAGTTCCAGTTTCAGTTTCCCCTAAGGTTATTATCTTACATTAAGATGACATATTTTTCAAAACCTCCGTATTGCACCTGTAATCCCAGTTACTCAGGAGGCTGGGGCAGGAGAATCGCTTGAACCCGGGAGGCAGAGGTGGCAGTGAGCTGAGTTGGTGCCATTCCACCCCAGCCTGGGTGACAGAGTAAGACTCCGTCTCAAAAAAACAAAGAACAAAAAACAAAAACAAAACCTCCATATTAACATTAGTACATCACTGTTAGCTCCAGACTTTCTACAGAGTTCACTCGTTTTCCCATTAGTGTCCAGAATCCATTCCAGGGTACTGTCCATGGTGTATTGAGTTGTTCTGTCCCATCAGTCTCCCTTGGCCTGGTCTATGCCAGTTCTTCAGTCTTTCATTGTCTTTCATGATCTGGACAGTTTTGAAGAGTCCTGGTCAGGTATTTTGCTGGATGTCCTTTAATGTGGATTTATCTGATATTTTTCTCAGGATTATAGCATTTTAAACAAAGTAAAAACGAGGACACTGTACCGAAGTTGGCTTTCTCCCAAGAGCTTGCTGCCAAACCTTGAAGACTTCAGTCCTTGAGCATTTGTTTTGATAGCCTCACAGGGCATCTGGGGCAGGACATCTAGATTTTCCAAGGTGAGGAATATAATAGAAAAACACAGCCCACCCCCCACTCCACCACCTCTGTGTCAAGCTGAGAGCGCAAGTCCCTGTTAGATTGATGGGAAATAAATTCCACCATTCAGAAAAGGACATTGAGAACACCTTTCTGCCGCAACCCTAGGAGCTAGGTAGAGGAAAAAGAGATTTTTCTGTGAGAATGTGTAACCATAAGCCGTGGTTACTTGTGAGCTTTCTGTCTGAATTCATACTACCTGTGTGGGCTGAAGACACTTCATGCAAAAAAGAAAAAAATAATAATTTAAAGAGATCCTGGGTTGGTATCACCACAAAGTATATTTAGTATTTTTTGGTGTGTGTGTGTGTGTGTGTGTGTGTGTGTGTGTATGTGTGTGTGCATGTGTGTGTTATCTCAAAATATAATGTCTAGAAATAACATATATATATATACACATACATATATATAACAGGTGGATTTTTTAAAAAAATTAATGATTAAACAGACTAACAAAATTTTGAGCCAGAAGATTGATCTAGACAAAGCATTCATTCTGGGGTCCTGTGAGACAAAGAGTTAGAAAAGACGAAAGAAAGATTAAAATAAAATAAGAATAGAATGAGATCTACCAGTCCCATCCAGTGGAATTTTCTCCAGTGATGGAAGTGCCTTAAAATAGCTGCATGTGGATAGTGGCTAGTATATTGGACATCTCAAGTTTAAATGTTGTCTAATCAGTGTTTCAGAAGGAAATAATTAGAATGCGAATAATAATAATAAGAAGAAGAAGAAGAAGAAGAAGAAGAAGAAGAAAATGGCTGAGAATTTTCCAGAGTTATGGTAAAACACCAATATTTTTTCTAGAACCTGCCCCCCTTCCAATCTAAGTAAGATAATAAGAAATGTACACTTTGGCCCACCATAGCCAAGCTGCAGAATATCAATGGACAAAAGATTTTTTTACAAAGCAGCCAGGGAGAAAAGCCAGATCATCCACTAAGGAATGGTGGTGAGGCTGATGGGTGCTTCTCATCAGGAACAGAGGAAACTGCTGCACTGGGGAATAATATCTTCAGTGTGCTCAGAGAAAATTTGTCCACTTACAATAATTTATCTTGCAAAACTCCAGTTTAAGAATGTGAATAAAATGAAGACTTTTACAGACAAAGCACAACTGGAAAAGCTTATCACAGAAAGACCATTGCCAAAGAAAATTCTGGAAGATGACTTTAGGCTGAAGGAAAATTATTCCAAGTGAAAAGTATGATATACAGGAAGAAATAGTGAGGCAAGATGCAGGTAAATCCAAATTAAAACTGCTTAAGCAATAAAAATGAAGTCTAGTTGGTGTAGGAAAAGAGGCTGAAGAAATTAAACTATTACAAAACATTAGCAGGTAATATGGGAGAGATTTGATCAGAGTTACACATATAAATATAGTCCTATTAAAAGGAAGAGTAGCACTAACGAATACACCAAAGCTTTTAACTTGCAAACAACCAGAGGCTAAAAATATAATTTAAAAAATTATAATAATTCAGAAGGGAAGAAGGGATATAGATGATTTGAACAGTTTAATTAGCAAGCTTGATCAACTGGACCTATATAGAACATGACACCCAGCTCTAGAAAAAATATCTGACTTTCAAAACACATGGAATATTAATGCAGATTGCCCCAGTGCTAGGACATAATGCTAGATTTCAAAAGATTGCAGTCTCAGACCACAAATGAAGTTAGAAATAGTAGATTAAATAAAATGTAGAAAACCCTCACTTATTTGGAAATTAAACATATATACACACACATAGCCACACATGCTTCCAAACAACTTAAGGGTCAAAAAATATTAATGAAAATTTAAAAATACTTGGAACCGAATGATATTTAACATATTGTAAATCAAAACTTGGGAACACAGTTAAGCCAGTCCTTAGAAAGTTAATGCCTACACTAGAAGAGCAGGAAGGACCAAAATGATTGAGCTAAGTATCAGACTTAAGAAGTAAGAGAAAGACAGCAGAATGAATCTACCAAAAAAGTAGGAAGGAAAGAACAGATATCTATTAATACAACCTGTGATGGTTATGACATTTTTTTTCATCCATTTAACCAATATTTATTGAGCACCCAGTACATAGTAGGAAAAGACAAAGTTCCTAACTCTCAAGCTTCTCTTCTCATGGGGGAACAGACAGTAAACAAAGAAACTGAATGAATGAACAAATAGCTTAATTTCAAGTAGTGAGAAGCACATTGAAGCTGAAGTAGGTACGGCAAAAAAAAGGAATAGAGTGATGAGAGGTGAGGAGTTGATGTGGCTATTATTTATTTATTTATTATTATTATTATTATTTTCCCTTCAACTTTTATTTTAACTTTTGGGATACATGTGCAAGATGTGCAGTTTTGTTACACGGGTAACCATGTATCACGGTGGTTTGCTGCACAGATCATCCCATCACCTAGGTATTAAGCCCAGCATCCATTAGCTATTCTTCCTGATGCTCTTCCTCTCCTTACCCAACCCCCTACCCACAGGCCCCAGTGTGTGTTGTTCCCCTCCAAGTGTCCATGTGTTTTCATCATTCAGTTCCCATTTATAAGTGAGAACATGTGTTGTTTGATTTTCTGTTCCTGCATTAATTTGCTGAGGATAACAGCTTCCAACTCCATCCATGTCTCTGCAAAGAACATGGTCTTGTTCTTTTTTATGGCTGCATAGTATTCCATGGTTTACATGTACCACAGTTTCTTTATCCAGTCTATCATTGATGGGCATTTCAGTTGATTCCATGTCTTTGGTATTGTGAATAATGCTGCAGTGAACATACACGTGCATATATCTTTATAACAGAATGATTTAATATTCCCTTAGATATATACCCAGTAATGGGATTGGTGGGCCAAATGGCATTTCTGCCTCTAGGTCTTTGAGGAATCGTCACACTGTCTTCCACAGTGGTTGAACTAATTTACACTTGGTAGTGGCTAGTTTAGACTTTAGGATGTCTTCCGAGGACAGGAACCCGTATAGCCATGAGGAAAGGTAAAAGGCCTGCATTCTAAATCATAGAGTGGTGATGGACTCCCTGCTGAATGCCTTCCTGCATGTGGCCATTCGTGGCTGGGCCAGGGCTATAGATGGGGATATTGCCAGTCTGGACAAAGAGATGAAGCTAGCAGATAATTTCCCTCCAGGACTTCAAGCCATTTGCCCAATTCCTTGCCATTCTTCAGACCCATGTCTTCATGTTGCCCTTGACTCTCCTGTTCTCGTGGCTGCCCTGCCAGCCTTCTTGCGAAGCCCTCCATGCTGTGACCATTGTCCCTCAACCTACTTCTGTCAGGCTTTGTCCTGTTCCCCTAGGAGCCTGGCGGGGTGCACAGAACACTAGGCTGGTGGTCACTGCAGCCCAGTTCTGAGCCTGGCTGAGTGACATTGGCTGAATTGCTCCCTGGGTCTCCTTTCTTCATCTGTGAAATGTGCGGGTGAGTACATGATCTCTAGGAACCCTTCCAGCTCTGTGGTCTCATGATGCTGGGAAATGTCAGTGTTAGGGATACCCAAAAATGCATCCACGTAGAAAAATGTGTATCCTTCCCAGGTCACTTTTACCATTTCAACACTTTTATATACCTTAGCCCAAAGAAATGGAGTTCTATCAACTTTTCAGGCAAAGTGAGGATGATAGGGAGGGGAAAGGTAATGTTGCCATTTGGGGAACTCAGTGGCCTCCAGAAGAGCAAAGAATCCAGGGTTTAATTGCAATTGGGAGGATCAGCAAAGAATTTATATACAAGGTGGAATTCAAGTAGGGTTTTGAAGGATGGATAGGACTTCAATAGGTAGGAAAAGGCCTTCCAGAATAAGAGACCAATATAAGCAATACCCAGAAATTAGGGAAGAGGATGGTGCATTCACCCTGTTTATATCATGTCTGGACAGGAGCAGGCAGCAGGCAGCAGGGAAATGTTATAAGTGTGTAGGGTTTGGTTGCTTGTAGAGTGTGTTATAGTGACAACCTCTCTTTCATGCCAGGTTTCTGCTATGTGCTTTATATACTTTCAGAAGCTTAATCCTCAAACCAATCTTTTGAGGCTAGGTCCTACTGGAATCCCCATTTTAGGGATGATGCAACTGAGGCTTAAGGACAATCCACAGTGATAGAGCTGGGATTCAAATGCAGGTCTAACTATAATTTATGCCAGGAGTAGGGGATTCAACAGGGCTGAGGTAAATGAAAAAGCCAAAAGTGTGAGCTGGGAATTTTGGAAAGGGAATCAGCAGATCTGAAATGCTGGGTCTGTGCTTGTGACGAGGGAAGTCGTGAGTCTGTTGACTTTGGTGGTTTAGTGCCTTTTTGGAGTGAAAAGTTCATAATGAAAGTTCTGCTTGACAGATGATAATGGCTCTAGAGGGAATCATGAGGGAAGACAAGTGTGTACTCTTCATTATCCTAAATGCAGTTTCTGGAGAAAGAAGAATGGCATGAGGTTTGTCATTCTGTCTCTTGGGGAGACATCCTGTGGTGTGTGCAGTAACGGGCTGATAAGCTGGCTCTCTGACAAACCACACACACACATACACACACTCATGCACACATGCACACCTTGATTTGTAGCATTTGTTGAGTTCATGGTGTACGTGGTCCTTCCATGGCTAATTTCAAGGTACCAGTGTGTGATGTCATGGATTTGGGAAGAGAGGCACACAACTAGCCCGAAAGCCTCTGCAAGCAGGGCTCAGCACACCCCTGGGGTTATATCACAGGGCAGACTTGCAGCCTGGGGCAGATGCTGAAAGGATGAGGAAATGCATTGCTCCTCCCTCCAATGTCCTCTTTTCTGACAGATGGTCCTCTTTTCCTCTGTGGAGGTATAAAAAAAGAGACAATGTGAGACTGCAAACAAGAACAAAGGTCTAAGAAATCAACCCCTTGGGGCCACTAAAGGTCCACCTCCTAATGCCTGCATGAGTACACTCAAGAAATAAGAGTTGAAATGAGTGAAAGCATGAACAAATGAACCTGCCTCTGAGAGGCTCCATTTCTCCCTTAATGTGTAGTTGAGCTGAGTCTGCTAATTTCCTTCCAGGGGCTAAGAGGCACATCCAGGAAACTCAGGCCAGGCAGTATGCTGCAGCAGTATAGAGAACAGTCTTGGAGAGGGGCCATCTGGTCTACCACTTATTAGCTGTGTGACCCCAGACAAGTCACCCACCAACTGTCAGCCTCAATGTCCTCACCTATGAAATGGAGGTAAAGTACCTACTTCACAAGGCTGGTGTGAGGCTCAATTATTATAAATAAAGTGCTTAGAACCATGCCAGGCACATAGTAAGTGTCAGATGAGTGTTTGTCATCATCATGATCACTATCATCTGTAATTATTGCTCTCAGTTGCTGGTTTTTCCTTTCTACGTAAATGGTAGCTATAATTAGCATGCACAAGTGACTATTTATTTTTACACTTTAGAAAGTACCCTAGGTTTAAAATACCATCTCAATTTGAATATTCCTCAGTATAACTCTTCCCTGCCTAGGGCTCAGAGTTGGCCATCATAGCCTGGCCATTCGATAAAATGCGATGCTCCACTCATTTGATAAAAACATTTGAGCAGGTGAAAGAGTGATTGATGTTTAGCAAGGAGCATTGAGTTCAGCAGCATTTAATAAATATGCAGGTATGTCCATTTCTTGTGGTAGTAGTGGGACTTGAGGGGATAATCTGGATAAATTAAATCTACCAATAATTCCCAGGCCTTATTTGGCTAGGGTCTTCACTATCATTCCTCATCTAGGCTTCACAGTTTTTTTTCTAACCTAGAGCTACAGATGGGTGTTTTAGTGGCTGGCTGGGTAGGGTCCTCCCCTCACCTGCTGTATTGTGTCCTGAGGTTTCTCCAATGAGCAGGAGGCAGCCTGGAGGTTCCCCTCCTGGGACAAACAGCCGGTGAGCAATCAAGAGTTAACTCCACTCTGAAGGAAACTGCCCCCCACCACCCCCCAACCTCCCCACCCCGCCCCCATCTCATTACCAAGATACCTGGAGAACATTCTCATTTAACAAGAACAGGTAGCTGGATCTCAGTCAGACTAGCCAAGGATTTCTGCCCATGACATCCAGAGGCCCCAGGGAAAGAAAGGGCCACTGTCCTGATTTAGATAGAGCCACATACAGCAAATCGATTTCATCCATGTTCACCATCTCTTCTGCCCTGATTTCCTACCTGCCACCCACCCTCATTGTTCTAGAAACACCTCTGGGTCGCCTCCATGGACAGAAATATGCCTAATGTGTTCTACAAGTATACTTTATATTCCCAGAGTCATAACATAGGAGAATCTAGATGTCCCTCAGAGTCATCCAGTTTTATTTGATGCCTGATTATTCCACACAAGACCCCTTATAGTGAGCACCCAGCCTCTGCCCCAATACATCCAGAAGGGGTGGGCTGGGGTGAGGCAGGTAGGTGGAATTACCTCTGCACTCCACCTCAAAGGCCTTGCAACGGGGCCCAAGCTTGTACTATTTGTTTATCAACAGAATATTTGTTAAACACCGACTTTGTGCCAGGCATGGTTTTAGGCACTGTGGGTTGCGATAATGAACAAGCCAGATAAAATGCTGGCCTTCATCAAGGTCACATTCTAGAGAGGGAGGCCATAAACAAGCAACAGATGAATATATGAAATGATTTCAGGTCATGAACCAGGGAAGAAAAAGAAAGGAGAAAAAAGGGGTAGAGAAAAATGGAAGTGGGAGATGGATTGGATGTGGTGCTGGTGGTAGGGTCTGAAACCTGGACAGAGGCATGTAGAGGGCGAAGAAGCAGGTCACATGATGACTGGATAAGCAGGAATAGCTGGTCCAAAGGCCTTGTGGGGTGAGGGAACTTGGCTTGCTGGAGGAAAAGCAGGAGGGCCTGCGTGGCTGGAGCAGAGTGAGTGGGCAGAGGCTACTAGGTGGTTGGTTTAGCCCGAGGAAGTGGAGCAGCAGGCAGCACTCAGAGTATGTCGGGTCAGTGGGCATCGGGGACAATCTGGATGTTATTCTGAGCGTGACTGAAGGGTGCTGGGGATGACGAGCTCTGATACATGTTTTAGGAAATGCCCTCTGGCTGCTGAGTGGAAAATAAGACAAGAGGAGGGCAACGTGGAATCAGTGAGTTGGTGTTTTGTTTTGTTTTTGTTTTTGTCTTTTTTTGCGATGGAGTTTTCGCTCTTGTTGCCCAGGCTGGAGTGCAGTGGTGTGATCTCGGCTCACCACAACCTCTGCCTCCTGGGTTCAAGTGATTCTCCTGCCTCAGCCTCCTGAGTAGCTGGGATTACAGGCATGCGCCACCACGCCCAGCTAATTTTGTATTTTTAGTAGAGACTGGGTTTCTCCATGTTGGTCAGGCTGTTCTGGAACTCCCGACCTCAGGTGATCTACCCGCCTCAGCCTCCCAAAGTGCTGGGATTACAGGCATGAGCCACTGCTCCCGGCTGAGTTGGTTGTTTTTAATCCGGTATGGTAGGACACACAGACACAGAAAGGAATGTCCTGAAGGAAGAAGTTATACCCACAATTCCTTAGAAGCAGGAGGCGGGCCATACAGGGCCAGGCGGGTCACTTAGGAGCACTGGGGCACCTAGGAGCCTGAGAGAACAGAAGACAACAGCGGTGGGCAAGAGCCTTGACCGTGGTTTTCCCAGGAGGGACAGGTGAGGCGGGGCAAGCAGGCTTAGGATTGGCCAGTGTGAATAATTCCAGCGGGCTCTGTAGCATGGGGGCTGTCCCTAGTTGTCTGGTACTTGGCCCTGGGGTCATTAGGACGGGTAGATGGTGGCCTAGAGTGTGAAAACCCAATAAAGGAGATGGTTGGGGTGTAGGCTCTGGTTTAGTTGGTTTGTATTTGAAAGACACATTGAATGATGAGTTGTTCTCTATTTCTAGGAATTGGCTAGCCCTGGAAGTAACAGTCCCTTCAGGGTAGCAAGACCCCAGATGTCAAAGCATCAGAAAACAGAAACTAAAAGACACGGTTAATATAGTAGAACAGTTCTTAAAGTTAGTAGTTCTTAAAGACCCTGCCAGGAGAGAGACAAATGAATGATAAGATTCAAACGTGGTCTAGAGGAGAGAATTTGATTCTTGCAGTGCAAATTGTGTTATCTTCAGAGACTTTTCGGGAAAAATGGCAAGAGCCTAGTTGGTGGAGAGAAATCAACCTGTAAGCAAAACCACCTCTTCCTCCCCTGCCATGAGCCTCCATAAGAGCTTCCACTTCTACTTCCTTTTGCCCTCTTCCCACCATGGAGCCAGCAGACACCTGAACTCTCAATGGAAGATTCTGCTGGTATCCACCTGAAGCCTAAGGCAGCAGAATGTTCAACCCAGAAGAAGACAGTTCTGGGGCTCTATTCACCTAAGGGTGCAGGGAGTCTGCGGAGGGGGCTTCAAAAGCACACTGTGAGAGGGTCTTGAGGAAGATTGCAGGAGATAGGAGATGCTGAGGGGGAGGATGTGTTCACGTGGCCTCCCTGGGAAGGCTGAGAGGGTGAGTCCCACCATGTGGCATAAGGAGAGAAAGTAGCTAATCCAAGGCACAGGTCCCCAGCCCCATCCAGCCCCCCAACTCTGGGATACTGATTCCAATTCTTTTGTAAAGGTCTACTAGAACTCAGTATTTAGTCTGGGCCACGCTGGCCAGGCAGAATTGGGAAAGGGGTAGCCCCTACTCCAAAGCCACCTGGTAGACAAATGGACTGTCCCATTTTGGATTGCTGTGCAGAGAGAAGCACCAATCTGTGATCAATCTTCCATCCAAGGGGATGGCTAACCGTCTCTGCCCTGATTTCCTACCTGCCACCCACCCTCGTTGTTCTAGAAACACCTCCTGGTAGACAAATGGACTGTCCCATTTTGGATTGCTGTGCAGAGAGAAGCACCAATCTGTGATCAATCTTCCATCCAAGGGGATGGCTAACCGTCTCTGCCCTGATTTCCTACCTGCCACCCACCCTCGTTGTTCTACAAACACCTCTTGGCCTCCTCCTTGGGTAGCAATGTGCCTAATGTGTTCTATGAGTATACTTTATATTCTCAGAGTCATAACATATGAGGATCTAAATGTCCCTCAAAGTCATCCAGTTTTATTTGTTGCCTGATTTTTCTACACAAGATCCCTTATAGTGAGCACTCAGCTTCTGCCCCAATACATCCAGTGTCGAAGAACTCAGCTTCCTGAGAAGGCTGGTTCAATGTTCAGACAACTCATTGTTAATACTTGGTTCTATATAGGGAAGTCTTTCAGCATATACACCCCCTCCCTACAAGCTTCTCAGTACTTGCTTAATCACTCTGGAACACACAAGATGACTTTAATCCCTTTTCCACAAAACAGACTTTGAGTTATTGAAGATAGGCATCTTATTCCTTTTTGTCTTCCATCAGCAAGCAAGACAGTTGCTTCATTTGCTTTTCATGTAGCTTGGTTTTATGTTCCCATGCCCTGCTAGTGTTTCTTCCTGAGATATATTTCAGATTGAATACTTGACTCTTTAAATATGGAAATCAGAAATGAATGCAGAATTCCAGCTCATCAAAAATATTTTTAGGCTCTGAATCTTCCACATCATCCTTGTGTTATCACACCTATCTCTTGTAGAAGTAGTGAGCATGCTCTTTGCAAGTCATTGGCAAAAATATTGAGTTCACACACAGGGCAGTGAACTATTTCTCTGGCAGAACACTGGGACACTAGGAACCCCTCACCAGGTTTGATATTGGTCCATTAATGGGTGTTCTTTGGATAAAACTTCAGAACAGTTAGAAACCCACTAAAATGTTCAAAGATTCTCTGTCTTACCCACAAGTGTATCATTAAAGATATGGCCACTTGTTTTGCTGAAGTCCAAATGCCTGAAAGGAAATGTGTGTCCATTGTCTTCATCGGCCAGCTCCCTACTGAGGAATGGAAATGGGCTGGGCTAACAGGACTTGTTCTTGTGAACCCATGCTGGGTCCTATAATCACTTTTTTGTCATTTGGGTGCCCATTATAGCATTGCATTGGTAATGATTCTGGAATCTTGTCAGAGATCCATATCAAGCTCAATCATCCATAGTTTACAGAATCCATTTTCTATCCATTTTAGAAAATTGGAAAGATAGTGGCTAATTTCCAGCCTTCTAAGGTCTCTTGACGTCTTCCCAAACAACAGACCTATCCTGTCCTCGATCTCAAACTAGTCCCAAATATAGCTGAAAGGTATTTTGGTTTTATTTTTGCCTTTTTGTTTCTTTGCCAGCTGTGGGTCATTTTGTCAAAATTCTGTCTGTGTTACTTTCTTATACATTTTTTTGTGTCCTTCTTCTTATTCTGTCCTTTAAAACCTGGGTTTCTAGAGCAGTCATTTGCAGGTAAGGGTGAATATTGGAATCACCTGGGGAGATTTTTAAAATTGCTCATGCTGGCTTCCCACCCTAGACAAATTGGATAAAACTTTGAGAAATAATAGAAGCATTTGTGTTTTTTTAAGACCCCAGTGGACAACCAAGGTTGAAACTATAGCAGAAGAACACAAGTAGTTTTGTTTGTTTGTTTGTTTGGTGGTTTTCACAATTGTTGAGGTTTTCTTTCTCTTTATCATTGGCCTCACCTGTATCTGCATGGTGAGATTTGAATGTTTGAGAAATTTCTGAAACATCCTGACCACAATGAACCTTCCTTCTTCATGCCTAAGGATTGTGTTTTTTTTTTAACCTTTGAATTTTATCTCTGAATCATGCTATTTTCACCTCTGCTCTCCTAAACTTTGTGAACTCAGTGACCTTTTCCCTAATTCTCTTATCTCATCCTCTTGGCTAAACATTACTTTAACCTACTTGGTCAAAATGTATCTAGGATAGTGGTTTTTCCATTTGTTTGCTCAATCTTATTAGAAATTTAGTAAGGCAAGTTTTCTGCTGTTCTGCTTTTGGCTAAATGAAATGCAGATGTCTAGAAAGTCGAAATCTCCCATCATTACCAACTCATACCTATATGGTATTTAAGAAAAATGTGCTAGTACTCTATCACCCTTTCTATTCATCCAGCTTAGTAGCCTCATCTCTATATTAGAGATTAGTTGAGCAGTTGTTAAAATACAAATTTAGGATCCAACTCTCCAATTTATAATATAATAAGATCTCAAAAAACTCCTGTTTTTTGTTTGTTTTTTTGTTTTGTTTTGAGACGGAGTCTCGCTCTGTCACCATGCTGGAGTGCAGTGGCACAATCTCGGCTCACTGCAACTTCCACCCTCTGGGTTCAAGCAATTTGCCTGCCTCAGCTTCCCGAGTAGCTGGAGCTGCAGGCACATGCCACCACGCCCAGCTAATTTTTTTCGGTATTTTTTAGTAGAGATGGGGTTTCACCATGTTGGCCAGGATGGTCTCGATCTCTTGACCTTGTGATCCACCCACCTTGGCCTCCCAAAGTGCTGGGATTACAGGTGTGAGCCACTGCACCTGACCAAAAAACTGCATTTTAAAGCTCTCCTAAGCAATTTTGATGATTAACCGGATTTGAGAAACACTGACCTGCCCACAACAATATCCCTCTATCCCTGTCTTCTCATCTGTTCACTCTTTGGCACGCATCCACCTGCAGGTTCCTGAGTTTTCACATAGACGTCTGTCTTGTTGACATAGCTTTCTATTCAATCTCTTCCCCTAACAGGCCCATTTGTCATGCTTCCATCAGTGTATTTCAATTTTGTGTCTACTTTTTCCCAAGCTTGGTGAAATAAGGTCATATTTACTGCCCTATCTTGTAAGAATTTTTTTTTTTCAGATTCTCTCCAATTCATTTTGTTACTCATGCTCTTATGACTGGCACAAAGTAAGACATCTGAAGTTATAACAGTTTTTTTCTGTTTCCCTCTGCTTAATTGTTTTCTAGTAAAAAGAAAATCACAGATAACATAACTCATTCTTATTTTTTCCTATGTCATATCTTCTGATTTTCAGAGCAGTTAGTTTTATGAATTTATCTGTGGATTTTTATTTCTCCTCATCTGTATGTTTTATTTTTAAACTTTTTTTGTGGAGGCAGGATCTCGCTATATTGTTCAGGCTGGTTGTGAACTCCTGGGCTCAAGCGATCCTCCCACTTCAGCCTCCCAAAGTGTTGGGATTACAGGGGCAAGCCACAACACCTAGCTTTCTAATATATACCTAATGTTTAATACATTTTCCCCTCTCTTTTAAATTTTCCTTGCTTTTTAAAAACTTTATGTTATGAAAATGTTTAAAATGCTGCAAAGTAGAAAGACTAGTATAAATGTTCATACCCATCACCTGGATCAACAGTGTGTCAGTTGGTTCTTTTGGAAGCAGATGTTGGGATGGAGTTAGGAAAGCAAATGCCTTGGGAGTGACACCCATAGAAGGAAATGGGAGGGGCAGGATTGGGCCAGGGGAGCTGTCAGGCGGTGATGCTGACCTGACAAAGTTTCTGCCAGCCCAGCAAGGAGGTCCAGGGCAAAGCTGGTCTTTAGAGAGGTTCTGTGTTGGCAGAAATGGCTGGGCCCTTGGACCATGGTCTTTCTTAGTCATTAGCTGGGGCCACCTGGAGAAAACTGTGACCTCTGCTCAAAAGCTGGTATACCTGAGGAAGTTAACTGCTAGAAGATGGCAGCAGATGACACTCCTCAATGCTGGGCGAAAAGCCCACTGGTACATATAACCTTCTCAGGCCAGGGTTACTGTACTTTTTAATTCACAGTCAAAGTTGAGCAATTGAGTGAGAATGGACCAATATGTATCCAAGTGGATTGCCCATGTCTACCTGTGCTCCCCAATGCCGCCATGTGTAATAGCAGATCTCTCTCTCCTCATGCTAATTAGGGTCCATTACCAGTGCCAAGATGGTGACTCCTTTTATTGCCTGCTGGTCCTTGGACATAGGAGTTCAAAGTGCCCAGGCAGGAGCCCAATCTTGTGGTTCAGTGAGTCCCTTTGGGGTCCAGGTCTTTTAACCCTGCAAAGCCCAGAATTCCATGAATGGGAAGAACAAAGCTTCCTAGTAGGTCATTGGGAATGATGGTAAGTGGGCCACTACTGGATACATCCCTTTGTTCCCAGATCCATGTATTTAGCCTGTTGGGGTCACAACATCCCACAGCATCAGATAGCGGTGTCTGATTCACTGCAGGTACTGCACCTGGAGGGTAGTGTCCCACCTTTGCTGGTGTCACTTCAGCTGCTTCCTTAGCGGGCCATTTCCATTTCTGCAGGGATCAGATGGGTGAATTCAGCAGAGCTATGTAAGGGAGCACCACCTCTGAATGTTTAGATCTTTAAGAGGGGCATTAACGTGTCATCTCCCATCCCCAAATGTGATGATGATTTTTTATTTCACTGTTTTGGCTGGGGGTGGTAGGGAGGGCAGTTACAGAGGCTTCTACATTTTCCCACTATGCTAGAGTTTACTCCAGACCAAGGATCTAAAGTGAGGATTGTCCCCATTGTTCAGTATGTCACTCCCAATATGTGTGAGAACTGGGAAAATAGCCACTGGGTGTGTCCCTGGGCCCAGTGAACTTACTGTAAGTTGGATTTTGGTAGGACTCTGTTTATTACCTGACCCCACATACCCTCACTCTAACAAGGGGCTGGGTCTCTGGAAATGTCAACTCAGACCCTGTGTCCAACTGTCCTCAAAAAGTCCAGGTATTCTCCTTTCTCTAGTGTACAGTCACCCAAGTAAATGGCCATAAATCTCTTTGGGGAAGGATTGCGGGACTCATTATAGTCTTCAGGGTCTCTCCTCCTGGGACCTCTGCAATTAACAAATTTTGGATCTGAAAGCTGCCTCAGGTCTAGGAACTGGACAATGGATCATAACTTTTTACCTGGGATGTTGGTATGGTTTGGGCTGTGTCCCCACCCAAATCTCATCTTGAATTGTAGCTCTGATAAGCCTCATGTGTCATGGGAGGGACCTGGTGGGAGGTAACTGAATCACAGGGGTGGGTTTTTTCCATGCTGCTCTCATGATAGTGAGTACGTCTCATGAGATTTGATGGTTTTCTAAAGGGCAGTTCCTCTATACATGCTCTCTTGCCTGCTGCCATGTAAGATGTGCCTTTGATCCTCCTTTGCCTTCTGCCATGGTTTTAAGGCCTCCCCAGCCATGTGGAACTGTGAGTCCATTAAACCTCTTTTTCTTTATAAATTACCCAGTCTCAAGTACTTCTTCATAGCAGTATGAAAATGGACTAATACAGGTGTCCTTTCCCAGCCTTCTGCTCATCCATCCTCCTTTTACTTTGACTCTATATGTTAAGTAGTACCCTCATTGGCTGCCTATATATTTTGCCCCTACGGATGCCATATTCTGTTAACCATCTTCACAACTGTCTGTCCTTTTGGCTGCTGATCCTGTATTGCTGGTTATTTCAATAATTGCAACCACTGGCTTCTGATATTAATGACTGTTTCTGTTTTTTCAAGGTTCCATAGTCCCTGCTGCTATCAATGAGCCAAATTTTGTGACAGCTTCTCTTTACTATTAGCCCTGGCCTGAAGAGGACAGCCACTGCTGAAATTCTCAGTGATGCTGATGTCCCTCCCGATAGGCTACCTGATTGTGTGGGCTCTAGTCCTTCTTGGTTAACATAGAACTCCAGTGGGTCTTCTGATCTCATGTAATATGTCCACTCTACCATGCCCATTTCTCTAAGCCTGTCAATCTCTTCCTTCTCCATCTCCCATGACAATTCAGGCGTTTCAACATTGCTTAGCCTGGGCCATGGCTTTTTTCCAGCCTTTTAGGAACCATCCTAGCAGCTAGTTTGTATTATTTCCTGGGGTTCTTGCTAGGTTATTAAAAGCCATAACCTGAGAGAGTGCCCCCATGTCAATGTACTCTTCTATACACAGTCTTATATTCTAGCCCCCAAATAAGAACCCTTAGAATCCAGTCTCATGGGTACTCCCCAACTCCTACTGGTGCATGTTAGCTAATTCTTGCAGATTCTTTGGTGTTACAGTCCTTCCTTTATCAGAATTAGTATGTCCCCTTCTGGGTTATAGTCAGACTTTACCCCAGCTATTGGCTTACCAGCCAAGAGGGGAAGTGGGGGCAAGTTCTGGTGGACAGAGGAATAGATGGGGCATGGTTGCCCTGAAGGTGGAGGCTTCCATAGTTTCTTAGCACAAGAAGGAAGCACTAGTTATTAGTATGGAGGAATGAGCCACCTCTGCAGGTTCTGCATTCACAGGAGTTTGGGGAGCCAAGGCATTGTGGGGTATTGTCCCCATCCCCCATGTCAGAGCCCCAGGCTTTCCCAGCCAGGACCTCAACTTTGCAACACCAAATGTGCTTAGGCTTATCTTAGCATCCAGTGTCTTGGAGCTGGGCCTCCATCTATTAAAACCTGAATTTGGTCTTTAGCTTTTTCTGCTCTGCTGCTGCAGGAGATAAAGACCTTCTTGTAAGATTCAAGGAGGCCCTCTGGCTTTCACACTTCGGTTTCAATTGTTTGTTAACTGCATTTAGCTTTTCAGTATACCTCTGTAGAGTGGCAATGCAATTTAATAACCATGAGGCCACAGTGAGCTTGTCTGCATTCTACCTTCCCCACTCCACACACACATATCAAACATCTGAATTATGGCACTGGCCTGCTCATGCCTAGCCACGGCAATATTTTCCCAGGTTACCAGGGTAAAAGTCTTAGAAGTTGGGCTACCCCCTTGTGTCAAAGACTATAGATGACCCACATACCACATGGGATGAAGTCCTCATTGCTAGTCAGTTGTGAGTGATCCAGTCCTTAAGACCCATCCTTTTAGGGAAAAAAAAATTATTTTTAGTGGTGGTAAAATATACATAACATAAACTTAACTCTTATTAAGTAGGCAGTTCAGTGCCATTAAGTACATTCACATTGCTGTCTATCTCCAGAGCTCTCTTCATCTTACAGAACTGAAACTCTATCTTGATTAAATAACTGTCTATTTCTCTTACCCACCCCAGCCTCTGGTAACTACAATTCTCTTCTCTTCCTATGAGTTTGACTTTTTTTAGATACATGTAAGTGAGATTATGCAGTATTTGTCTTTCTGTGTCTGTCCTCTCTCACTCAGTGTAATAACCTCAAGGTGCATCCATGTAGCATGTGTTAGAATTTCATTCTTTTTAAAGGCTGATTGGCATTCCATTGTATGTGTAGACTATATTTATCTATCTTTTCATTCAACAATGGACAGTTGGCCCAAGCCCTATCTTACTGCCTGCTTTCTTGGGCTGCTCCTGGTACCACCTTTGGGACACAGATGATGAGGTGGCATCAGGCTCTAAAACACCTGGGAAAGGAAAACAGGGAAGCAGAATTGGGCAGGGGAGCCGCCAGACTTCTGCACACATTTGCCAGAGTCTGCCAGCCCAACCGAGAGGTCAGGAGCAAAGATAGCCTTTTACAGGAGGCCATATTGGGCTTAGATGCTGAGCCCTGGGACCACAGCCTTGCTCCGGCATTGTCTGGAGTCTCCCAGAGAAGAGTATGGCCTTGGCTCAAAAGCCAAGGTGGATCTCAAGGAGTTCACCTCTGAGGGCCCTCCCTAGCTGCCATCTTTGCAGCTAGGCAGGGTCCTTTCTTAGAAGCAGGCCAGCCTATCTCTCTCTGCCCTAAAAAGTTTATTAACATCTGCCAGACTTGAACCATTAAAAAATTTTTTTTGTTATTCTTTCTAAAATTGTTGATTTCCTATTTATCTTTTCTTGTTTTAATTTCCAACTTTTAAGTTCAGAGGTACATGTGCAGGATGTGCAGATTTTTTACATAGGTAAACATGTATCGTGATTTGCTGCACAGATCATCCCATCACCTAGGTATTAAGCCCAGCATCCATTATTTATTTTTCCTGATGCTCTTCCTCCCCTTACCCACCCCCTACTCACAGGCCCCATTGTGTGTTGTTCCCCTCCATGTGTCCATGTGTTGTCATCATTCAGCTCCCACTTATAAGTGAGAACATGTGGTGTTTGGTTTTCTGTTCCTGTGTTAGTTTGCTGAAGATAACGGCTTCTAACTCCATCCACGTCTCTGCAAAGAACATGGTCTTGTTCTTTTTTATGGCTGCATAGTATTCCATGGCGTACATATACCACATTTTCTTTATCCATTCTATCATTGATGGGCATTTTGGTTGTTTCCATGTCTTTGCTATTGTGAATAGTGCTGCAATGAACATACATGTGCATGTGTCTTTATAATAGAATAATTTAAATTCCTTTGGGTGTATACTCAGTGATGGGATTGCTGGGTCAAATGGTATTTCTGTCTCTATGTCTTTGAGGAATCACCCCACTGTCTTCCACAATGGTTGAACTAATTTACACTCCCAAAAACAGTGTAAAAGCATTCCTTTTTCTCCACAACCTCACCAGTATCTGTAAAACATTCTTAATTGAGTCAGTGAGCTACTGGGCGAATTCTTTCTTTTCTGTCCACATGAAATTCGTTCTATTCTCAGCCAAGATTGCACCATTCTGGCATCTTAAACCATGGTTCAGCAACCTAGATCCTGCCCAAATATTGTCTATAGAGCCAACTGCTCACTTCCTCAACTTCCCTCTCTTGTTCTGAATCCCAGCTATTGATGTAAAGAAGCAATGAAAGCCTTATCTGTGCCTCCAAATCCTCAATTTCTTTCTTTCTTTAAATTTCAAAACCTTTAAAAATATATTTCTGGTCACTTCAAAGATGTTATTTGTACTCTTGAGAATAGTTGAGATGGATGTAGTTGGCAGGTGTAATAAATCTTGGGCCTTCTGTCACATCCCATGTACTCAATCCAAGAAATTCAGTCATGGCTGTCCTACAAAGACCTCCCTCCCCCTCCCTGGGATATTGAGAATCCCAATATCACAGCATGCCCCTTTCTTCTTAAGCTATTAGGGAATTCCCTTGCATTCACCAAGAACTGGTCAGACTCCTCATCATTCAACTTTTTGTCCCTGAATTTCGAGCCTCACCTTCATCGGACAAGTCTCATATCACTTGAAAGGCTCTAAGAATGAAACATTTCTTCATTTCCTTAATCTCTTCCTCTTGATTTCAGTTTTAATTTTTTCACCACATTTTGAACCCCCTGGTTTTCTTTTTGCATTGACCCTTGCATTTTCTTCGAGAATACCCCTAATATGTAGCACACAAAGAGACAGTTCTTGTGCCTTTCACCTGGTTCTCAGTTATAAACAGTGTGTGCATTTGCAGTGGATGCTTCCCCTTGGAAATGCCCCCCACAGGGTGCAAGTCACAAGGATAACCCCTGATGGCTTCCATTCCTCTTGGTTAGCTTGAGAGTCCAAAGGGAAGAATACTGGCCCTCGGGACTCTGCTTTGTAACTTCATTGTCCAGATAATGAGGCAAACAGTCTCAGACTTTGGTAGACCTTGCTCTCTGGGTTACTTTTTACAGCTATGCCCATCATTCAGTATCTTTCATGATTACCCTAGCCAGAGAAAGTCAGTGATTCTGCACCATTGAATCATCAGCCAAATAAATGTTTGCTTAATGTTGACTGAATTGTCAATAATTAATACCTCTCTGCTGTAGCTACCAGATTGCAAAACACTAAGGAACCAGAGGGAAAAGCTCTAAGGATTTCAGTGAATCATTCACCTTCTCCCACATGCCAGCCTCTGCTGCAGTGTTAAATTTAATTTTTGTCTCCCTGGGCTTAGGCCAGCAAGAACAATTCTTCTAAATTGACTATCTCCACATGCAAAATGGGATCAACATTTTTATTCGAGTTGAAAAATCAATTCTTACAAAAAAGTAAAACAATCAGTTTGACTCCTTTTCTTCCCCCTTAATTGTTGAGCTGAATTGACTGATCAAATAGTGACAGACTGTAAGGTAATGAAAAATACCACTGGCAACTAGTCACATAATGCAGGAAGCTTTTCTACGGGAATCCTGACAGATTCTTTATTATCCTGTGAGTCTGCAGGATATTTGAATACTCCCAGTGATGTGGAAGGCTCTACTTCATGGAGCACTCTACTGAGTCCATTTATTAATAATTCATCTGGGTCCAATTTCCCTGGAGTTTGGTATGGAGACATTTAATGAACACTCACCTAGTTTCACCAAAAAGTGTCCCTTCAGCTTAGTGTCCCAGAACAGAGCCCAGAAATTATGGTTTTAGATCTGTCTTGGACACTTCCTTCAGTGTCCACCGTTTTGCTCTGGAGTCCCCTCCCTCCCCTACCCAGTACCTCATGCCATCCCCTCTCCCATCTCAACAATGCCTTTTTTTTTTTTTTTTTTCCTGAGATGGCATCTCGCTCTGTCACCCAGGCTGGAGTGCAATGGCTCAATGTTGGCCCACTGCAACCTCTGCCTCCCGGGTTCAAGCGATTCTCGTGCTTCAGCCTCCCGAGTAGCTGGGACTTACAGGCGCCTGCCACCACGCCTGGCTAATTTTTGTATTTTTAGTAGAGACAGGGTTTCACCATATTGGTCAGGCTGGTCTTGAACTCCTGACCTTGTGATTTGCCACCTTGGCCTCCCAGAGTGCTGGGATTACAGGCGTGAGTCACCGCACCCAGCCAACAATGCGTATGACTTTTAAGTTGCATCCCCTGGCACCATCTCGATTCCATGCATATATGTCTCTAGAAACCTTTCCTTGTGTGCCACATATCTAGATAAGGGCCCATTGGACACCCTCCAAAAAAGCCTTCTCTACACTTAGAATCTTCCTGGGAGCGACACTATCTTTATGGTCTAGAAGGGAATGAGGAGGCTCCGTGACATGATGTCATCATGACCCCACCATCACCGGCAACCACTGTTGATTTTTTTCTTTAACTAACTCATTCATCCACCCATTCATTCTCTGTCTTAGATTTTAAGGCAACACATATGATGCATACAATAAGAAAAGAAAAGAACAATTTAAAGTGGCTATTTAAAAAACCGAAACAAAAATGTTAACAGTGGATGCTGAGGACTTTTTTTCTTAAAGATGGGACTAAAATCTAAACAGGTAGGAGGCTAAGAAAAAGCACATAGGACAACACAGTATATTTTTTCTTATAAATATATCACAAGTTTCTTTCTAAACTTTCTAGTAGGTGCTCAGTTTGATGACTAACAGGACTCATAAAAATTAATGAGCACTTATTGCATACCAAGTGTTTGCTAGGCATCACATTAGGCAAAAAGTGATACTTGAGTTATAGGATTCAATTTACAAAAACAAAAGTTCCTATTTTTTAACCATATGATTGGCAAAGCTAAAAAAGAATGATGATAACTGGAATGAGGGGGAAACGGGAGCCTTCAGACCCAGCCATGGGGACCGGCAAGCGCTGCGGTCTTGCTGCGGGGCTTTCTGGCATCTTGTATAAATACATCTTTTGGCCCCGCAATTTCATTTCTAAAAATGAATCCCACAGAAATGGGTAGACAAATGTACAGAAATATTGTCAAATGATATTTATTGCTGTCCTATTTTTAATAGTGAAAATTGAAAACAATCGAAATGTCCCTGAGTTGGCGACGTACTGAGTAGAAAGCCATGCAGGAATTAAAAATGAGCTGTAGCTCCCGGGCCTGTCGGGGGATGGGGGCCAAGGGGAGGGAGAGCATTAGGACAAATACCTAATGCATGCGGGGCTTAAAACCTAGATGATGGGGTGATAAGTGCAGCAAACCACCATGGCACATGTACACCTATGTAACAAACCTGCGTGTTCTACACGTGTACCTCAGAACTTCAAGTAAAAAAAAAATGAGGTGTAGCTATGGCCACACTGACCTGCAGACATTCATGATGGATACACTTTTTCAAATGTTAATAGATAATGTATAATGCACTAAGATTTTTGTGAAAAGACAAAAAACTACTTGAAAAAATATCTTCAAGGATATACATTTGGAGGTTAATAGTGACTGTTTAAAGATGGTGACATTATATAATTTTTGCTTTTTTCTTTATGCTTTTTAAAATATCATCTGAATTTACATGACTTCTGTTATCAGAAAGCAAAAGAAAACCTTGTTCATGCCTCTCAGAGATAATCGAGTTTATCCAGTCCAGCCTCCTTATTTTATAGAGGAGGAAACTGTGGCCCAGAAAGGCGGTCGTTAAGATTTTTGTGGAATTTCTGAAAGTCACTGTGATGATCGTGTTGGTGCTTGCATGGTACCAAGAGGTTCACATGAAAGAGGAACACTGGGGGATGCTCCGCAGCATTCACTCAACCAGCAATTATGGCTCAACCTTGGCTCTTGTGCTTGACATGGGAGGAACTCTGAGAAAACTTGGAGTGTAGTCTCTGCATCTCGCAGCTTGCTTTTCATCTAGTAACTAACAATCACAGCAGTGAAGCCTTCCCAGCAGGGACGCTCCCACCTCTGAACCCTCTCAGTGGTCCCTGCTGACCCACCTGGAGTTTGATCCACCACCCCCCTGAGTTGCTGTTCATCTCCGGGTGGATGCTGCAACCATCCCCACCCACACCACCAAATGTAATGTATGCTGAAAAAGAGATTTGCCCTGTTTCATGTCTCTACATCTTCAGCAACTAGAACACATTTGTGCTCATGCAGGGCAAGTAATAGAACACTGGCCTGTAAAATGGAGAACCCAAAGCAAAAATCCTGTACAACATTGTGAATATGAAAGGAAAGCATTGGTGTCCCTGTGTGATGTGGTCCATTGGGGAACTGGATTCGCTTTTCTCAGGCTCAGGAAACTGGTCTGATTCTGATTCTGTTTTGTGTTGGGTTGCCAGGAGGAGGGGATGATGGAGGCGGTTCTTCCATAAATCCAGGCTTGGAGATACAAGCAATTCCTTTTACTTCAATAGCACTGGTGAATCATCTATTGGAACAAGGTTTTTATTCTCCTCACCTTTAAAAAAACATATCTCCATAAAGCATTTGTGACGAAATAAATTTCTTGATGGTCTGGTGTTGACAGCTGGTATTTTAGGCGCCCTGCTAATGCACTTTGTTTTGCCGCAGTGTGGTCTCAGGAAGCCTAAAGCTAAAGAGAATTGAGAGTGGTCGCTGGCAAAGACCTCTGCTAATGCAAATGTCCCGAGAAGCTGACTGTTCATCTCAGAGCTTGGGAGTAGGGGTAGAGGTAGAGACTTTATAGGCTTGGTCCAATTAGGACCTGAGTTATCGGGTCCAGGCCTTGAAGGAAAAGACAGACACAAATGCAATGCTGCTCATCTTTGCTCTGGAGGGTGCCTGTGAGCTGGCAATATCTATGTGCAATATCCAGATTTTGTGGAAAAACCCTAGAAAAGCCTCTGAGTTTGTCCAGAGCCCTGTAGCCCAAAGCCTATTCCTTATCCTCCCACCCCCAAAACTGGGTAGGTCAGAGCCTGTTTCATGCCTTCTTTGCCCCTACTTTTCCCAAGCCTGGGCTTTAGAAGCATACTCTTTTGCATTCACAAATATCCTCAGAGATTGTCTTTAACCAGTAGAGCAGCACTGAAGCTAGGAGCTGAACAAGATGGAAAAGGGTACCACATTATAAGAACGAGGATCCTGAGAAAGACCATATCCAAAATCGCCTGTCCACACATGGACACCAATGCCTGGCATTTCCCTCTACAATCACACAGCCCTTTGTTCACTCATAGTGTCAGGCATTGCGTGGCCAAGGATTTACTAGAAAACAGATCCTCATAGGACATAGACAGGCTGATGAAGAAGCAGATATTCATCAAAGGGTTGCAGCGATAAATGCATGGTTTAAAAACACAGTAAGTGCACAGTGGAAAGGTACATAGTGCCAAAGGTTAAAAAGTAAGGGTGTTGGCCGTCCCATGGACATCCAGGGAAGGACTTGTCATTCATGCTTGTTCCCTTTAGTTCAAGGAACCGATTCCAGTTACAATCAGCACAGCCCGTCTAGGGTGGGGCCTTCAAGAACGAGGAGAACAGGTCTGTGATTTGTTGGATGCCTGCTTTGTGATGGGAGCTTCACATTCTCATCCACATGATTCTCAAAAAGCCCAGGAACGTTGGGCCTATTACCCATGACAAATGAAAACCTAACTTCAGAAAGGAGAAGTGAGTTGCCCATGGTCAAATGCCTTGTGAGTTACAGAACAAAGATTTAAGCCCAGCCACATTTTAGCCAGTAGCGATTTGTTTACTCCTTAGTGGAAAGGGATCATCTGAGGAACTGTTTCTCTTCTGGAGCATTCAGGAGGACTTGGAGGGCTGAGGGCAGGAGGAGTGAATGGGGTTCCCAAAGAAGAAAGGAGGAGAGAAAGGATGCATAATCAAGACTCTGATCAATTTAAAGTTAACTTTGGATTTCACAGCAGTGTCAGTCCTACCTGATCCAACCGTCTGAGGGTTAAATGGAAAAGTATAAAGCTCTTGCCATAGGTAGAACACGCACTGCTCTGATGGTTACAGGGGGCAGGGCATAGTAAATGTGTTGACCCACTGGCAGGTACAAACACCAGCTAGTCAGAAAGGATGGCAGCCTCGGAGCCACAGGAGGCCCTGCTGCCCCGGCGTTAACCTTCAGCCTTTGAATCGGAGGTCCTAAGGTCCTGGAGAGAGGAGGCCCCCAGGATAGGGGACATGGGCTAAGGATGGGAGGTGAGGGACAGTGTCTGTTTACCAGGTGGTACAACTATATTTCAACATTTTAACAACCGCACCTGGACCCACCTATTGAACAACAGCCCCGGTAACTGTTATTTTAATTACAGTTTAGCCAGAGGTACAAACAAAAACAAATCAACCCCCACCGCAAACAATATATCAATGCCTATTATTTGGAATCTGGCCTGAAGTCTTGTCTTATTTAACCCATAGAGTAATTAAAAAGAAATACAGGCCAACCTTCAAAATTGAGTAGTTTTACAGAAGAATTCAAAAGTCTGTTTGCCTTGTAAAAAGCAAATCACAAAATCTAGCATCTTAGGGCCCACAGTTTGCATGTGGCAATGGCCACCTGGAGCTGAGGAGAGGCTGCACCCTTATACAGGGTGGGCTTCTCCAGGGTGATAGGAACCCTAGTTCACCCTGTTGTCTGCCTGGCCTTGGGGTCCAGTGTGGGTGGCCATTCAGACTGCACCCTTGTCTCATCACAGAAAATGATTTCCCAGGCTGGGCATGGTGGCTCACACCTGTAATCCGGGCACTTTGGGAGGCCAAGCAGGCGGATCACTTGAGGTCAGGAGTTTGAAACCGCCCTGGCCAATATGATGAGACCCTGTCTCTACTAAAAATACAAAAATTAGCCAGGTGTGTTGGCATGCGCCTGTGATCCCAGCTACTCGGGAGGCTGAGGCAGGAGAATCACTTGAAACTGGGAGACAGAGGCTGTAGTGAGAAGAGATCACATCACTGCACTGCAGCCTGGGTGACAGAGTGAGACTCCATCTCAAAAAAAAAAAAAAAAGATATGAAAATGATATCCCCAGGCCTAGTGCCTATGTCTATAGCAAAATAGCAAGAGAGGGACAGAAGAGCCTGAAGAGCAGGCTGTTTCAGGAAACTTTCAGGCAAAAGTATATTTTCTCATGGAATAGAAAACTCTTCCTACTCACTTTTCATATCACAAAATTGTGTCTTGGCCAGAACACCAGACTCATCTGACTTTACTCACTGTGCCCCCTACCTGGCTTTCCTGGGCCTCTGGGCTTGTGACCCATCATGGACCATGTTCCACTTGGCTCTTCTGATGCTTCCTCTGCCGCCTGGCTTGCATGGAACTGGAGACACGAATCTGCATTTTAACACAGTGATCCTGCTGCAGGTGGTCCAGGCATCACACTTGGAACAGGGCTTGGCAAACTCCTTCTATTAAGGGCAAGACAGTAAATATTTGAGGCTTTGTGCACCCTGTGGTCTCTGTCACAACTACTCAACCCTGCTGCAGTAGCTCAGAAGCATCCACAGACAGTATGTGAACAAATGAGCCCGGATGTGTTCCAATACCCCTTTTTTTTTTTTTTAACACAGGCAGCAGGCAGGCAGGATTTGGCCCATGGGTTGTGGCTTGCTGACCCCTCTAGAGCAGGGGTCCCCAACCCCTGGGCCACGGGCCACTACTGATCTGTGGCCTGTCAGGAACCAGGCCACACAGCAGGAGGTGAGCGGAGGGTGAGTGAGTGAAGCTTCATCTGTATTTACAGCCGCTCCCCATCACTTGCATTACCAGCCGAGCTCCGCCTCCTATCACATCAGCAGCGGCATTAGATTCTCACAGGAGCGTGAACCCTATTGCGTGTGAGGGATCTAGGTTGTGGGTTCCTTATGAGAATCTAATGCTTGATGATCTGTCATTGTCTCCCATCACCCCCAGATAAGATCATCTAGTTCCAGGAAAACAAGCTCAGGGCTCCCACTGATCCTGCATTATAGTGACTTGTATAATTATTTTATTATGTATTAATAATAGAAATAAAGTGTGTAATAAATATAATGCACTTGAGTCATCCTGAAACCATCCCCCCACCCCTGACCCCTAACCACTCTGGTCCATGAAAAAATTGTTTTCCACGAAACTGATCCCTGGTGCCAAAAGGGTTGAGGACTGCCGCCCTAGAGGATGCATGAGATAACCGAAGATAGTGTCTGGCACATGGTGGTATCTCAGCCCCAGCTCCTCACAAAAGCAAAGCTTGAGACAAAGACTGCCATGCAGGCTGAGTGGCTTATTTAGGAAACATAGCCGAGACAGGGGCACTAAACAGGGAAGGAGAGAGATTCAAAATGCAGATGTGTCATTGAGTTAGCTGCCTCTAGGGCAACTGGAGGCTTGCTCCCCAGGACTCTCTAGAAGCGTGATGGAACATGTCTCAGAATCTCTTCCTCAAGGGGCATAGATGTATGGGATTGTTTCTGTCCTGTATTGACCAAGGTCTACCCCTAGGGTTGTCAACTCTTTCTCATTGCTTTATCTGTATGTGGGCTCTGCAGAGGTTCTAGAAACAGAGGTGCTGGGGACGAACGTGAGAAACATGAGGTATGTGCCTACGGTGAGGCATGATGAGGCTGTGCCTGCAGGAAACCTACATAAAACCAGTTGTTGAGGCAGCAACTGGAATTGAGAGCGAGGGATTTGAAAAGCAGTGGATGGATAGGTCTGGCTCAGTGACCATTCATTTATGCTGAGGTCAATTGTGATGCGGTTCATTATTCTTAGGAGGGAACCGAGGGGGACAGCAATGGTTTTCAAGCTTGTCACGCTTGGAAATGGTGCCATGTGGTGAGGCCTCATGGAAAAATCAGCTGTAGAGTGCCCTTTTAAGAACTGCTAAGCACTAGTTGATTAAAACATGTAGACATTACTTGTTTCTTTTTAATTTCCATCATATAGTTTATTTACGTAAATATTTATTAAATGTAAATCATCGTAACAATCCTGTAAGACAGTGATCATCATTCCTATTTTACAGATAAAGCTTGAGCACAGAAAAGTGAAATAACTTGCACAATGTAACAAATATTTCCTTTTTTGCCTTTTAATTTTGAGACAAGTTCTCTCTCTGTTGCCCAGTCTGGAGTGCAGTGGCATGATTACGGCTTACTACAGCCTTGACCTCCCAGGCCCAAGTGATCCTCCCACCTCAGCCTCCTGAATTGCTGGGACTACAGGCATGTGTCACCACACCCACCTGATTTTTAAGAAAAAAATTTGTAGAGACAGGGTCTCCCTATGTTGCCCAGGCTGGTCATGAACTCCTGGGCTCAAGCGATCCTACCACTCTGGCCTCCCAAAGTGCTGAGATTACAGGCGTGAGCCACCGTGCCTGGCTACAAATATTTCTTGTCTCTTTGTGTGCTAGGTGCTTCAGTTACTAACTAGCAGAGGGAGATTTTAAATCCAGGCCCTCTGATTCTATGTTCTTTGTTTTTTCTAATAGTGATTTGGAAGGGAATGGAGAGACCACTCACCACTTCTTCTTCTCCTTCTCCTTCTCCTTCTCCTTCTCCTTCTTCTTATTGAGATGGAGTTTTGCTCTTCTTGCCCAGGCTGGAGTGCAATGGTGCAATCTTGGCTCACCACAACTTCCGCCTCCTGGATTCAAGCGATTCTCCCGCCTCAGCCTCCTAGGTAGTTGGGATTACAGGCATGCGTCACCACACTTGGCTAATTTTGTATTTTTAGTAGAGACGGGGTTTCTTCATGTTGGTCAGGCTGTTCTCAAACTGCCGACCTCAGGTGATCTGCCTGCCTCGGCCTTCCAAAGTGCTGAGATTATAGGGGGAGCCATCGCACCCAGCCCAGAGACCATTCACTTCCAACCTTTCACCCAGTAAAATAATTTCTCTTGGTGTACCCCTGGTGATGAGGGGAATGCTAACTTACCTGTCAGCTCATTTTATTTCTAAAGTGTACTTAGTATTCATTTACATCTTTCATCAACCATTGATTAGAAGCAATTTGGACATAGGAGAGGATATCCAAGTCATGGTTACGTGGTCCAGAAGAGAATCATCCACCCAGCAATTTGCATGGCATGTACGGGATCCTTAAAGCAAGGCCACTGGGTAGAGAGGGATCCTGAGAGGCTGAAAAGCAGGTAAAGGAGGGTGAAGACAGGTAAGCAGAGCTGTGCAGTAGCCTCAGAAGTTCAGACTCTTGGGAAAACCGTTGTCTCCCTTAAAGGCATGTGACTCCTTTGAAAGTCACCCTTGTTGAGCTTGGAGAAAGTGCTGGAGAAGAGAATGCTACTGGATTCGCTCCACCAGAGCCCTCTGAGTCACACTTAAAATTAGATGGGGCAGTAAGAGTGTAGCTCAAGGGGAACTGTATCTGCCTAAATTAATGCTGACCTTGTTGGAATAACTCGCACTCTTCAGTATCTGCAGCTGTGGAGTCCCGAGGGAGTTGTCTGGCTACATGTGATTTTACATATCTGACAGCTAAGTCAGAGATCCAAATGCCAAATCCTGCACTCAGGAACATTATGTGGATTTGTGACACTCCCAAGGGGACTTTGGATCCATAAAGCAATGAATGGATTACAATGAGGCATAAATATAGCATTTTCATCTGTGACATACAATCTTGCTCTATTATTTCTCACATTGTTATGTGAAGGAAATCTATACCCACTCTCTCAGGTCTGTTCTCAGAAATTAAAAGAATGAAAAAGAGGTCTAAGAAAAAAAAAAAGCCTCTTGATGCATCAGGAATAAACTAAGAATAGGGTGTGGTAATTCCATGGAGGTAATTTGCAATATAGGGTAAACTCTGAGATCACGCGCATTATCAGGAAACAGCGATCTCAGGCCAGCATGTCAGCTCAGTCACCAACTAGCCAGTTGGCTTGGAGCAAATCACTTCATCTCTCTGGTCCTCAGTGTCCTGATTTGTCCAGTGGACTTCAATGTTAAAGGCATGTACTCTCAAGAATGGGCAAGATGATCCACTGTGTGGTGCCAGAAGAAAATATTAGAACTTTTTTTACACTTTAAAAATGTCTAATTTTGTGTATGTTTTTAAAATGCCCATTTATATTAGTACACATCTATTGTCTATAAATGAATAAATAGGCATATATTGGAAAGTTATATGCAAAAATGCATTCCTGCTAAAAGCATGGGAACAAGAAGTTTGGAGGCCACTGATTCAACCCATCAAGGTTCTACTGTAGATGGGAAGGCCCCTTTGTATCTGGTAGTCCATGATTCTGTGAATTTGAGAATTCTCTCACTTGTTTTCCTGAGATCCCCCACTCCCCATCAGGGCTGAGTACATCAGCTGTCCAAGGAAAAAGTTGTGTGCCCATTTGCGATGCGCCACAGATGTGTGGGCTCAGAAACCACAAGATGCTATTAGTGGACCTCTTGAAGTTGTGCCTTCCATATCAAGAGTCATGCAAATAATTATAATAACTTTCATTTGCTTCGTACAAGAGAGCTCACAAATCAGTTTCATAAGTAATTTCACATATGTTTCACTGAGAACTTCAGAACAGGTATTTTCCTAGGTATGAGAAAAGAGGTACAGAAACAGCTACCCACCTGGTATGCGACAAGGCTGCCACCCAAATTCTGCTCTCCTGATAAAGATTCCAGGGCTCTCTGCACTTATAACCAAGTACAAATACGCTCCCTGGATCCCAGGGGGAATTAGGTGGTGGTGTGTGAGGAGAGCAGTGTAAACGCAACCCCCAGCTACTTACAAAGAACGGCAGTGCTTGGGGCCCACAGTGGGAGGATCAATAGCATCATTCGTGTGTACACAAGACCTCCCATTATTCAGGGAGGCCTGGCAGAGGGAGAAAAGCAGATGCATGGGCTCCTCGTGCCACCAGCTGTCATGGCTTGCTACGCTGCAGTTCCTGACAAGTGCTGTTGTGACAGTCTCTCTACACAGTTGCAGGGAGCAGCTTGATGGGAACAGCAGCAAAAAGCCTTGTTTACAGAGGTGTGAGAGAACAAAGAGCACGTATATACTTAAGAGAATGTAATTTCAAGGACTTTGGTCCTGCCAGGTGTGGTGGCTCTGGAGGACAGCAGGTACTACCACATCTGTGAACTGGTCACCCTGTGCCCTGCCAGGAAATGGGACTTGAGGTGCAGGAGAGAAGCTTTCCCTGTTCCTTGTCTTCATTCAGTCTTGTGATAATGACCTGCAGAAACGTTTATCCTTTTTCCTCTAAAGTGGCGTTATGGCAGCTAAGACGTGTAATATTTCACCGCTAACCATGATGGCTCTTACGGGGTTGTAATAGAATTTAAATGTTTGTTTCCTCCTCTGCATTGCAAATCTCTTAAGGGTAGATATCCTGACTTGTTTATTTCTATATCCCCAGACCTTTCCCCTACCGAGTCTAACCCATAGAAGATATGTAATACTTGTCTATTTAGTGAAGGAACTGTAAATATATTTACATATTGGCTGTCCTTTTGGGAACTTCTTTTTTTTTTTTCCTGCATTAGCCTTAAAGTAGGACTCAACACATTAAAATTCACCATAAAGGATTACTTTAATGAATACTTGCCATGATGCGTATCACCAGCAGAGGATTACTATCAGGGTATGTAAAGAATGCCTACAAATCGATAGAGAAAGACACATACTCCAATTGAGAAATGGATGGACCAGCGATTAAACAGGAAATTCAGAAAGAAGGAAACCTAGTCTATACAAATATGAAAAAAGAAAGATTTCCATATTTGTAATGGCAGAAATGCAAGTTCAAGACACTGTAATGCTATTTTACTCCTTTCAGAGTAGCAAGCATTTTAACAACCTGATTTGTTGGCAGTGCTGTAGAGCTGTGAATTCTCTTACCAATGAGTGTACCTTGATACAACCCTGTGGCACCGTCAGGTACCATAGGAATTGTGCACCCCCAGCAGAAATTCCACTCCTAAGATACATTCTACCAGTTTTTCTCAACCATTTATGCAGAGAATGAAGCCCTAATGTCCTGGGGCATCCATTGTGTGAAATGAACTAACTTCTCATTTCTACATCTAGAATGATGTTAGTGATATACCATCCATGGGCAACTTAAAAAAATACTCATTCGAACCATCTTCTGTGTTCTGTGGTTTTGAAATTTTGCATTTATTATTTTTGGACTGCCCTTGACCATGGGTGACTAAAACATTGGAAAGCTAAACTGCGGATAAGAGGAAACTACTGTATTATTATACATTATAATATTAAGTATATTATACATTTATAGAATATATAAAATAATCCATATATTAAAATAGAATACATATAATTATTGTTATTGATATATTTATTCTTTATATTAATCCTTTTATTTCTCTGTGTGTAAAAATAGGTAATTTCAAGAATGTACCATGTTAAAAGAATAATGAAATATACCCCCACCAGTCCATTTGTACTGATGCAGTTGTGATGAATGACTCCTCTTATGAAGGGAAAGAAGTTTTTCTTTCCTCAAGTTTTTCTTGAGCAAATTATTTTAGACAGAATCTGATCATTTCACTCCCCAGTTCAAAAATGTATGCTGGTTTTTGAGTGCTGCTCGACAGAGTCTAAATTCTGAAGTCTGGTGTTCAAAGTGCTCCACAAGCTGGGTCCAGACCAATTTAGAAGCAGTGCTTCAATCTCTTGTCTTCAAGCACTTTACATTCCATTCAGATTGGAGTGTTTGCCATTTTCCAGACATACCCCCATGCTTTTCCATTTCATGCTGTTGCTGATCCCATTTTCACTTCCTGAGAACTCCTTCCCTCATTCATGCAATTTGACGTTACATACCAAAGCCTTAATAACATGCTTACTCTTTGACACAACAATTCTACCAGAAAAATAATTCGGGTTGTGCGTAAAGATTTAGCTTGAGGATGTTTACTCTAGCATTGTTTCGAATGTCAAAATAT
This sequence comes from Homo sapiens, assembly GCF_000001405.40. NCBI lineage: Eukaryota > Metazoa > Chordata > Mammalia > Primates > Hominidae > Homo > Homo sapiens. Next base: position 14,547,532 of record NC_000006.12, on the reverse strand, counting down.
TAAAACTAACCTTAATGTCCTCAGGGGATGTTTAAATAAATCCACTGCACATGGAACACAGTGCGTAAAAGCATAGGCTCTGGAACTAAAAGGCAGACTACCCCAGCCAAGTCCCTGTTCTGGAACATTCTAGCTCTGTGATCTTAGCCTTTCTGTGTCTGCATATTCCTAATCTGTAAAATGGGAATAAACCAATATTTCCTTCACAGAGTTGTCAGGGGGATTTAATGTGTCAATATTTGTTAAAGCACTTAGAATACTATCCGGCATATTGTAAATTCATTTGTAATTGGCTGATGTTTCTCATCCATAAACCCTTGAGGTAAGGAAATGTTGCAGTCTATTTTGATGTCCTGGTTAAACCTGACATTGTACTAAGAATGAGTAAGGGTTAAAGGCAGGAGGGGTGGTCCAATCTTTTGGCTTCCCTGGGCCACACTGAAAGAAGAAGAATTGTCTTGGGTCACACACAAAATACACTAACACTATTGCTAGCTGATGAGCTAAAAATAAATCACAAAAAAATCTCATGATGTTTTAAGAAAGTTTATGAATTTTGGGGGGCTGCATTCAAAGCCGTTCTGGGCTGCATGTGGCTTGCAAGAGTGGGTTGGCCAAGCTTGGTTAAAGATATATGCAAGAATCACCGCCATTCTAGCTGAGTGCTTTTTAATTGGGGGTTCTAAAGTAGTGAATTTGAACTTGAATAATTCGTGGCAGGTGGCAGGAGAGTGAAGTAGGAGAACCCCAGGGTTGGAAAGTGAGTTTTATAAGGAAAGTATGAAGAAACTGGTTTGTTCTAGAAAGCCAAGTCGCTCTAGAAGGAGTACGGAGTAATAGATTATTAGAAGTACTTGGGTTCTGGAGTTAGAGCAAGCCACTCTAAACTTGAACTGTACCACTAACTACGTGGGTGGCTTTAGGCCAATTTCTTTCACCTCCAGCCTAGGGTTTCTCTTCTGTTGAAGAAGTGCAATAAGATCCACCCTTATGAGCTTATCGTAAGGTTTAGAAAGAATAAGTAGTTCATGTTCCTATGTTCCAGGCACTGGTCTAAGCTCTTTTCATATTATCTCACTTAATTCACACAACATCCCATGGGGTACTACTGTGGGTTGAACTGTGTCTTCTGAAAAGATCGTATTGAAGTCCTAATCCTAGGTACCTGAGAATGTGACCTTATTTGGAAATAGGATCTTTGGAAATGTAATTACATTAAAATGAGGTCATACTAGGTTACGATAGGTGCTAAATTCAATATGCCTGGTGTCTTGTAAGAGGAGAAGGCACAGACACAGGGCAAACATCATGTGGTGAGAGAGGCAGAGATTGGAGTGATACAGCTGTGAGCCAAAGAATGCCAAGGCTTGACGGCCACCACCAGAAGCTAGAAGAGGAAAGGAAGGAGTCTTTCCTGGAGCGTTCAGAGAGAGCGCATGGACCTGCTGACACCTTGCTATGGAACTTCTGGCCTCCAGGACTGTGAGAGGATAAATTTCTGTTGCTTAAGCTGCCCAGTTTGTGATGACTTGTTTCAGTTGCTCTAAAAAACAAATACAGATACCATTATTTTCCCTGTCTTACAGATGGAGAAACTGAGGCAAAGAATAAGCAAGTAACCTACCCAAGTTCTCACATAACTAGTAAGCTAACCAGGGTTTAAAAGCAGGGCAAACTATGGAGTCTGTGCTCTTAATTATTAGCTGATATTCAGTTGGGTTCTGGGTGATTTCATCATTTTCCTGGGGAACACAAAGTTTTTATTTTCAGCTCTTAAATGTTGATATACTTCACCATCCACCATCCCCAAGAGGCATTATTCTGTGGAAGGAGAGTGATCTCGTCACATGGTTATCTGAAGTCCTGTCCTCATTAGCCCAGCTGAGTCTACGTTCAAATCATGCAACTTTTACAATATTCACACAGCCAAGCTTCCAGCCCAGCTGGGTCACAGCAGGCTGGTGACAGAGACTCTTCCTCCATGGATCTTGGGTAGAATCCTCAAATGGCTTCTTCAGGTGATACCAGAGAGAGGCCTACCTCCTAAGACTGGCTGTGCTTCCTCTAATAACTGTATCACAGCAACTATGGATAAAGCAAACTGCTATAGGCAGAATATTTTACAGTGACTGTTAGAGGGCCCTACTGACTTAAAGAGAGAACAAGAAAGAGAATAAATGAAATCTGAATTACTCCCAAATTCCATTTCATCCAAAAGCTTTACCTTCCTCTTTCATCAAAATGATTTTCTCAACTGCAACCATTAGAAAGATTTTCAGATTTCAGCATCATATGTATTTACTTCTCTCTCTCTCTCTCTCTCTCTCTCTCTCGATACTCAGGAAAATGCATGCCCGAGAGAAGAGCAGAGGCAATCCAAAACTGGATTTCCAGTCTAGAATCTTCTAGGTTTTTCTTAATCAGTTAAACCTTAAAAGACACAAAAGCTTACTAAGCAGCTACCATCTATTTTTCTGTTTCTTTTGGCCTGATAATCTTCAGTTTTACCAAGAACCCACCCCCAATCTGATTCCCTTGAGAATGTGCACTGGCTCTTGGCTTTTGGATGCAGGGCAAAGAGAAGCTTATTCATTGCCCTCTGCAGGCACCAGGCTGCAGCAGGTTGTTATTCAAGTTGATAAGGCTTCCATCCCTGGGGAAAAACTCCATCTTGCCAACCGTGACCCTGACTCAGGGTGTAAGCTGAGCCCAGGCACACCTGTACATCTGACAGATGAGGCAGGCTCTGAAAAGCCTCTGCTGACAAGCTTATCGGAGTGCAGACACCTGCAGAGGGGCCCACACCTTTCTTGGTGAGGGCTCCAAAAGCAGCCTTGATTCATCAAGTCTGTGTACTCGGTTGAAGAGAGATTACTTGGAGAATCAAAAAGGGGTTGAATTATGCCAAGACCAAAAATCATGCTTGGAAGGAAATATAGCCATTCATTCATATCATGGCTCTGTTTGATGGAATTCGTTAACATACCCTTCACTGGGTTTTGTTCCAGATAAAATCCTATCTTTGTCTTGGGGAGATAAGGGTGAGGACAAAGACAATTTAGATTGATTAAGCCTACTATGTTGCCTGGCACAAGAGGAGGTGTTTTATATTTAGCATCCTGTTTAATCTTCCCGAGAACCCATGTGATGAAAGTGCTGTTATCTTGATTTTACAGAGAAGAAAACTGAGCCTTAGAGAGCTTAAGTCACTTTGCAAGATTGCACATCTAATTAGTGGCAAGGCAGGATCTGAAAGGGTTCTCCCAGCGTTTTATGTCCACTAGCAGCTGTTCCCAAGCATACGAACTCAGGAAACCCAAAGCCCAGGGGTTTGGGGACAATTAATTATGTTTGTGGTCCTTCATGAGTGGGGCTCATGTTGCTATGTGTTGGCTGTATGGGGGAAGGTTGACCTGAGGCATGACCCTGTTACCCAGAATTCCAGGCAGATGGTGCAGAATGGCCCGGAATGGCCCAAGTCAAAGCTGATAAGGATTGCTGTTGGTCTCTGTGCTCGCCTGAACTAGAGGCAAATGATCCCAACATATCAATTTAGAGGCACATCAATTTATACTCTAAAGCAGTGGTCCTCAACTGGGGGCAACTTTGGCATCCAGGAGACATTGGGCAATGTCTAGAGACATTTCTGATGGTCACAACTGGGAGGGAGTGAGATGCTACCAGCATCTAGTAGAAAGAGGTCGGGGATGCTGCTAAGCATCTTACAATGCACAGAGAAACCTCCTGTATAAAAGAATTATCTGGTGCCAAATGTCAGTAGTATCAAGATTGAGACACCCTGCTTTGAAATACTATCCCACCATATACGTGAAGTTCTTAGCACAGTGACTGCTACACAGCGATCAACAAACATCAGCTTTGTCATTATCGATCACCAGGTTCCAAGCATTCGTATGTGAAGGCTGAGTTGACGATTTTTGGTAGGTGATCCCTGGGGTCCTCCCTGGGGAAAGCAAGGAGGAATGGGATGCCTTCCTCCCCTTGGTGACTGCGCAAGTCACCCACTGACACCAGTTCTCATTAATGCGTCAAGCTCCTTATGAATCAATACTTGAAGATTTTTGCTTTTATTTTTTAAGTAGAGTTGGCAAGGTGTGTGGCTAGCAGTGGGTGGCATGTACTTATCTCTGAAAAGATGTTTATTGAGTGTGAACTCTAAGACATTGGCAGAGGGGAGTGCTCCAGAGGTAGCATCTTACAGCACACAGCTGCCCGGGGGAAAGAGCTCAGTCACTGGAGTCAGACCAACTTCTCAGAGCCGCCATGTCCTAAGGTGTAAAACAAGAGCCATAATTCTTACTTTCAAGGGTTGGCGTGAGAATTAATTGAAGTAATGAATGTAAAGTGCTTAACACAGCAGGTGGCATAATGAACACTTTCCTGGTACCTCTCATCAGGAAGAGTAGGGCAGGCTGGCCTCAGAGGATTGGCAGGGGGACAGCTTCTAAAATGGTGACCCCAGTGCTTTTTGGTGGGCTCTGTTCGCCTCCCCCCTGGTCACCACATACCCAGGCAATACTTAGAGTACCCAAGGAGTGAGCAAGGGGATGTTGGCCACGACCCTGTTCTCCTGCTCCCTGCCAGGGAGGCAGCTGTGGTGCAGGAGCTGATGCATGACTCTCAGTTCCACCCACACGCTAGCTCTGTGATGCTGGGTGAGTCACTTATGCTGTTTGAACCGGGATCTCCTTCCCTCTACAATCGATTACATTTGCTACTTCACAGTAGTCATGTAAGGATTAGGTGATGATGATGACGATGATGACGATCATGACAATGATAAATAATCAAGATGAAAAAAGTAACTGGTTGTATCAGGAACCTGATGAAAGTTAATTTTTTTGTTGTTGTTTTTCTGTGAGAATAAATTCCTCATTATGCAAATGAGGATCCGCCTTGATGGTTTGACTTCACCTGACTACACATTTCTCCCATTTGCCGTGGGCATGGTCCTACACAGATAGGCCGGCCACCTCTCTCTATATATCCATTCTCATTCCCACCTCTACATCTGTGCCAGGGGTGATCGGCTCAGAGTAGCCTTCCTTTTCTTTCCATCTAAATCCTCTCCCTCTTTTGTAGCACAGTTCTGGTTTCACCTCTCCTGGTCACCCCATCCTCCCTAGTAGCTTCAGTTACTGTCCCCTGAGCACCAGAGGACGACTGCTATGCCAAGCCTCACGTGGCTGCCACTGAGGGCCACAATAAAGAACTCACAGGCTTCCTGCTTTGCTTAGAATGTTTTGTATTTAGGGATATCTATTATACAGAGGCAGTTCGTGTTCTTCCCTCACCTACTATATCCATTAAGTACTCTGTGCCCAGATTTCAACTAAGTTTTCTTGCTATAAAATACTAACAAAAGAATTAAGTTATGCCCACATGGTGCTACCCTCCTTTAACCTCAGAAACCATGTGATATTTGACTTTGTATCTCCAGTCTTGAACAGAGACTCAGAAATATGGTAGACACTTAAACATTGATGAATGAACGAACCAATGCATGGTTTTGTGGTAAGAGATTTTCTTCCCCTCTACATGACCACATTTTCCATCTCGTGAAGCTCAATTAAGATGGTTGAAGATACAGACAGGTGGATGTTCAGGTTTCTTCACAGCGTTCCTGGGATCATACTCGAACCTACAGGACTCTCAGCAGAATCCTGGATACAGGCACACCCTTGCTATTTTCACAGAAGGTGGAGAACTGGACCCTATTTTCCTTTTCTTACCCTGCTTTCTTGCTTTTCCCGGGGCAGAGAGAGGTGTTGAGCATTCTATAGGTACATTTTTTGATATCAGGCCATTTACAGTCTATTGTCCAAAATAAGTGGCCCACATGCCTCTGACCCTCAAGGGACTTGTTCTGGTTGCCTTACCCGTACATTTTAGTGCTTGGTCATATTCCGTTTAGAATGTCATGCCTCATTCTGTGGTCTTTCGGCTGGTTTTGTTTATTGGCTGTTTGTTTTGTTTTGCTTTTTTCTTTTATTTTTAAGGGCATTCTTTCTGATTAGGCAGAAATTCTCAGAAGGCATGCATTGAACTTCCCACTGTCTTCATCAGAGCTGAACATAGGCCTAGGCAAACAGCAGGTGCTCAGTAAAAGGTTGAACCAATGGAATCAAACAAAACCCTATCTTTCTAATTCATCTTCCTCCAAGCTTCTGCGATGACTAAGTCCAGGATGTAGCAACATAATCCTGAGTGTGGATTTTTAAAAGGGGGAAAATGAGAAGAATGGCAAGGTAGACAAAGATAGCAGGCACAAGATGAAAATACCAAGACTGACACCCACCCCACCTGGCCCTCAGCTCCTGATGAAAAGAAACCAAAGCCCTCGGATTCACTTCAATTGCTCTCTGGACCTGAAATGACTCCCTCCCCCAGGCCTGTAGGAAAATTCAATTAAAGGGTCCATCTGCGAGGCAGCAGCTGAAGGGGAATGACAGTGGGGAGGCCCACATTTTCATAAAAAGCTCTTCTCCTCCTAGCCCGCCCCCTCCTCTATGCACCCTCCCCTGCTTGCTTATTAGGCCCAACCCTTACCTCTAAACTGCAATTCTCTCCAATTAGGCGGGCTCAGAGGAGCAGCTTTCATCTGCTCCTTTCAAATGCGCGCACGGGAAAGACTGGGTACATCCCACAGACACGAGGCTTGCTGGGAGAGAGCGAGAAAACCCGCAAAAATAGCCCACAGAGGCTGGGAGCTAGAAGCCCCCTAGCCCAGTTAAGCCCCCTGCCTCAGTGGGCTTAGTGGCCGTGCACTGCTGGGCATGAGTTCTGCAGGCCATCCAAACCGAAAGGCAAGACACTAGTATTAATACTACTAATAATAAAAAATCACGACCAGGCAAGCTTTCTGGGCTTCAGTGAGAAACAAAGAGAAAGGCAGAAGGGAAGGATTAAATGGGATGACCTCCAAAACAAGCCTTCACCCTCCTGAGCCTTCTCACCCACAGGGCTGCCTGCCTGCATTAGTGTTTGTTTTGGACAAAGGGAGCCGGGCCACGCTGCTGGCCGCAACGATGGTGGCTCTGGCCAAGGGGCAGGTAAGAAATCCACCATCCTGTGACTCACTGTCATCTGGCAGGGTTGACTGAGGCTATTTTAAACATGAAGGATGGCCCTTCCAGGGAGTGAGTGCCTCTTCCTTCTGTCCACATTCCCTTCAAACCCACCAGTGCTCATGACAGTCCTGTGGGGCAGGACTGAAGCACAATCTCCACAAAGTCCTCCCAACCCTGAGCCCCAGAATGTCCTGCGGTACCCTCTGAGGACTTCTTATCTACCTTGGCAACTTCTCAGGCCTCCTTCCCACTTCCTTCTGCCCCCTTTTGATGATCCGTGTTGAGAGAACATAGGTAAAAGGGCGGCTCATTGCCCTCCTTTGTACCTAAAGCTGGAGGAAGCAGAATCTGGCACATGAGAGTTGACTTAACATAGGCCCGTATGAGGCTGGGCGCTGGGACTGGTGTACATATTTGTCTGCTCGGGATTTTTGCCCTAACAAAGCACCACAGCCTGGGGGGGCTTCAGCAACAGAAATGTACTTTCTCATGGTTTTGGAGGCTGAAGCCCGAGATCCAGGTGTCCACAGGCTTGGTTTCTCCCGGGGCCTCTCTCCTTGGCTTGTAGGTGGCATCTTCTCCCTGTGTCCTCGCGTGGTCTTCCCTCTGTGTGTGGCTGTTCCTCCTCTCCTCTTCTTATAAGGACATCTGTCCTCTTGGGTTAGGGCTCCATCCTAATTACCTCGCGTTAACTTAATTACCTCTTTAAAGAACTTATCTCCAAATAAGGTCACATTCTGAGATACTGAGGCTTATGACTTCAACACATGAATTTTGGGAGGGTTGTGGGGGAGACACAATTCAGTCCATAACAGTATGCCTTGGTTGTTCTGCCTAAAAAATGACCTATTATTTACCACTTTAATCACAGGACTTCAGAAGTTTTAGGGCTTCGAGGAGACATCAACTTTTCCAAGGACTGGAGCCTTCTAAGGAAAGGTCTTCACTCGTTGGTATTAGTGTGCTCCCAATTTATTAAGTGTAAAATAGAATTGGGACACTGCTCATAGCTACTATATAAAATGAGATAGAGAGGATCCTATCACGTGAATTCTATTAATTTAATCAAGACATAGTCCAGAACATCTATTTCTGGCCCTGAAGTAGCTAATGTACCTCAAGGATACATACAAATGGAGTAAACTCACCTCCCTTTCTTGGTCAAAATCCATCCAGGTCCCACCAGCCTCTTGAGACCCCTCATCATCCTTCAAATGTGGCCTCGTTCCACCTTTTTTTTTCTCTGAGCCTTTGCACAGGTTGTTTCTCCTTCTTGAAATGTCCTTTGCCTTCTTAGAACTGCAGAGCATTACAGAAGGAAAGGGGAGACTAGATTAGTCATAAATATTCTCTGGCTTCCGTTCTGAGAAGTCGGCTGTCCTCTCAAATTAGACATTAGACTAGAAAGGCTTAAACTCTTTCATTCTTCCAAGACTGTCAATGTCATGGGATTCCAGGGAATGCCTAGCCCACATTTCTCTCTTTTAAATGAGGGGCTTATGCAGACAGGCCTTTGATGACCGTGAGCTCCAGCATCCTGGTCACCCTCTTTCAACAGCTTGGGCCACACTCTAAGCTTGACTCCTCTGGTGAGCTGGGGCAGTGGAATGGCTAGAGATGAATGAAACAGTGAAAAGTGATATGGTTGGTGTGATGTTAATGATGTTTGTTGTTGTGATAGTGTTAGAATAAATTATTTTTTATTTTGGCGTTGTAAGTGTTCAGTATACTTAGTAGTGCTATCAATTATATTGAACACAGATCATAAAAAGATACTCATCTGGTAAAATATTAACAGTATGGTTTGGCAACTGTAAGTATGTTGAGCTACAAAAAAACTACAAAATCTATTCTGTTGATTGCGTTCATGGGAAACCAGAGTCTGCTAGAATTGTGTGTGTGTGTTTTTATTTATGGCTCTTTTCTTCCTTTTCAAGCATATCACCTGCTAGTCTTCAAAAAAAATCTCACTCCCTGGAAGAACCCTAGCCTTGGAACAACCTTTTTCATCCTGCCTCCATATCCCATTTTAGTTACTTATTTTAGAAAATAATTTGTCCCCCTCTTTTCTGGGGATTAGCATGGATATAGGGATTATAAAGTCCCAAACTGCATCCCCAGTTCTGTCGTTTAACTGGGCAACTTCTGGCTTGTACTTACACTATTCTAATTATGTTTTATGAATTGGGCATAGCAAGGGCCTTGGTCTTCCCTCATTATTTGTGTACCACCCATCTCTCCAGATCATATAAACCTCCCCTCTGAGTATGCTAATATAGCGGTGCATGTTATCTACCCCTTTGGACATATTCAAGGAAGGTGTTGTACTATGTTTATCTATTGATGTTACAAACAGCCTCAAAATCAATGGCTTATACCAACAACCATTTATTTGCTCACAATTCTGCAATTAAGCTGGGATTAGCTGGGTGGTTCTTCTGCTGGTCTTACCAGTGCTCACTTATTCAGAGGCAGCCTTTTAGCAGCTCACCTAACATGGCAACACCTGGCATCTCTGCCACTCGTTTAGAAATTAAAGTTTACTGCCTATCCTCCACAGTGATATTCAGAATATTTAATAACCTATACTTGATGGTCACTGGCCAATCGGAATGGACAGGGCCATGATAGACAGGGTTGTGGAGATTGCCTGTAGTGGAAAGCTTCAGTGCTTCAGTTGCTGATCCTGGGAGAGTTTTTGGGAGCTCTGGAACCTGGAGGAGGAGCCAGGAACACCGGTGCAAGGGCTCGGGGATCTCAGGAGACTTGAGTCTGTTAATAGGGAATTATTTCAACAACTTCATAACCAGTATGATAACAATTGTTTAAACCAACTTAAGCTCTATTGATGACATTTTCCTGTAGGCATGTGATCTCTCTTTTCATCTAGACAGAAAATCCCTTGAGGTCTAGAATTATGTGTTAAACTTCTTAGTGTCCTGTGGAACTTAGCCAAGAGTCATCCTTCAATTAAGAGTTGTGATTCTGTGCCATGTGATTAGAGCTGCCAGACTGGGGACACTTGGTGCTCAGAGGTAGGCAGTGCCCGATTTTACAAATCAGAACATAAAATTGAGCCTTTCTATACTCAACAGCAATCAGAATTAATTTCCTACTCCCTTTGAGATCTGGGTCCTTGTGCAACCAACCACCTGACTGGCTTCCTTTTTCAGAACATCTGGAATGTGGAAAGTCTGGAAAGATGTTTCTTTAATGCAGTAGCACTTGGGAGAGTTTTAGAAGTAGCTACTACAGTCTACTCCCTCTTTCCCAACTTAAATGGGGGTGGCAGTATTAAGGAGTATAAGAGAGAGGGTGTGTGCATAACATAAACTTGACATGCAATGTTGAGACCAAGAACTCACCCTTTACATAATGTGACATGGTGTGGAGGTAATTGAAAGAATATTATTAGTACCACCTTCAGGCCTATTGTGGGCTTTTGTGGAGCTGGCCTGAGAATTTGGCTACTATGTATAGCATGACTTTCTTAATTGTCTTGTCTCTAAAAGGAAGTTGTTGTACTATGTGTATCTACTGATGTTACAAACAGCCTCAAAATCAATGGCTTATACCAACAACAATTTATTTGCTCACAATTCTGCCGTTAAGCTGGGATTAGCTGGTTGGTTCTTCTGCTGGTCTTACCAGTGCTCACTCATTCAGAGGCAGCCTTTTAGCAGCTCACCTAAGGTTGGGTAGTCCAAGGTGTCTTCACTCACCTGTCTGGTAATTAGCCTGGGCTGCCAGCCAGGATGCCCTGTGTCTTGCAGGATACTGAGTTTCTGACTGGTGCAGCTGTGTTCCAAAAGGAGGAAGACCTGAAGCAAAAGCATTTATCAAGCCTTTCCTGGCATTATATTTGCTGCCATCCTGGTGGCCAAAGCAAGTCTCATGGCTGAGCCCATAGTCAATGGGAAAGGAGACTACACAGGATGTACTTCATGGAGGCCATGAATGTAACAGTCAACCACAAACCATATGATCTCTAAGGTTCTTTCAACTCCAACCTTCTGTTTTCCTGGGAACATGAGCTCTCATGTTTGGATATCAAGTTAGAAACACCACAAGCAGCCTGCAAGTTCCCCACTATCACCAAGACAACAAAGTAGAGTAGGGGATGATCTTTTCCCTTGTGACACACAGCCTTTTTGTATATGTTGACACTTACAATTTTGGCCCTTTAACACTGCACTATGCATTCATTTTAGTCAGATGTGACTTGTGAAAAACTGTAATAGGAAGAGAAGAGTTTGAGAATGAAATCTGAACCCATTTCCACAGTCCTCAAGCTTGACTCAGACTACAGAGTGTATGCGCGTGGCATGTACGTGGTGCATATTTAAGAAATGTTTGCTCATTGATCTCTACCCAAGGTGTATTAGTAAAATAATAAACTGCATCTCCTCATTTGTGACAGCAGACTAAATTCATCAATATGCTTGTCCTCTGCAATGGACTAAATGTGTCCCCCAAAATTTGTATCTTAAAATGGTAGCCTCCAAGGTGATGATATTAGGAGGTGGAATCTTTGGGAAATGATTAGGTCATGAGGGTGGCCTTCATGATGGGATTCATTCCATGATAAAAGAGACTCCAGATAGGTTTTTTGTTCTTTTAACCATGTGAAGATATAATGAGAAGTCAGCAGTCTGAAACCCAGAAGAGGGCCCCCACCAGAACCTGACCATGTTGGACTTCCAGCCTCCAGAACAGTGAGGAAGAAATTTCTCTTGTTCATAAGCCACCCATTTGACGGTACTTTGTGACAGCAGCCAGAACTGTCTAAGACATCCTCTCTCTCCCCCAATCTCATTGAAATTACACGAAATATGTTTCAAAAGAATAAAGTTATATAAGCATTGGGAAACAGGAAAGGGTGTATTAAAGAAAGAAAATAGGTGGGATTAGATCAGGGTTTCTCAAACTTGGCTCTACTGAGACATTGGACTGGATAATTCTTTGTTGCGGGGCTGTCCTATGCATCGTAGGGGGTTTATTAACATGCCTGGCCTCTACCCACTAAATACCGGCGATACTCCCCCTAAATTGTGACAACCAAAAATATCTTCAAACATTGTCAGATGCCCCCAGCAGAGACCCACTTAATTTGATGGACTGAGAGAATTGAAATCCAAAACCCATGCAGGAGGAGGCTGCTACAGAGGTGGGAGCCTTTCAGAAACTCCCAAGTCACCAATACCTAGAGCACGAGTGGGCTGTGAAGGAGATATACAAGGTGAGCAGTGGAAGAAGGGCTGTCTGCAGAACGGCTGGGACTCTTACAACCTTCTCCCGCCTGGCCCAAGGGGACTGGCTAGCTTCGAGGTGTTTGTCCCCAAACCAGAGCTCCCAGACTACGGTTTTAGTCTAGGAAGGATCTGGGGACGGGGGGCTTCTACTTTAGATGTTGAGGCTGGAGAGAGAAGCTGAGCCTGAAATGTCTATAATAGCTTGGATGGAAGGAAAATCCCCCAAATGCAGCTCCTCTCAGAAGTGACACGAAGGCTCCCAGAACAAAGCCTTCCTTCCTTGGAACTGATGAGGCCTCCAGCCTTTGTACTGGCTCCCTACCATGCACTGCTCACTTCCACCAAAGCCCTCCAATTCTGAGGAAAGTTTTATGGAAGAAAGAAAGAGTAAATAAGAGTAATAATTGCAGAAGAAATGCAACCCAACTATGAATACTGTTGAATTTATTAATTTTGTTGAATTTTATTAATTTGTTTGTAAACAGTATGATCAACAAAGGATGATCAGATATTTGATGAAATCTGTAGGTACGAAAGAGAAGAAATAGAAAGAGAAACAAAAATCAATAACTAATGAGATTTTTCATCTTATTGATAATAAGGTGAATGCAAATTTAAACAGGGAAATGCCAATTAAACCATATTGTTAGAGAGTCAAAAAAAAAAAATCTGGTAACATCCAGTGTTGGTAAAGCTGTGAGGAAATGGACAGTCTCATGGACTATCTCTGGAATGATAAAAATCCTTTGGGAAGTCAGTTTGGCAATACCCATTAAGATTAAAAATGCACAAACTCTTTGACCCAGAAACTTTTCTTCTAGAAACTTTCCTACAAAGATATTCATGTACACACTCAAAGATACCTGTACAAGGATGTTCATGGAAGCATTACAAGTAGGATCAAAAATAAGAAGCAGCTTAAGTGGCTTTCTACAGAAGAATAATTATGATGTGACTCTTTTATGGAATATCATACAGCCTATGAGTAGGATGAAACGGATTTGAATTTGATTGGAAAAATGTCAGTTACTAAATGAAAACAGTAAAACTCCAAACAATATGTATATGTGGTATCATTTATATACCAAAAAATCCACATGTTCACATGTGCATGTGTGCACACATGAGGTGTACAGAAATTGCACAAGGATCTGGCAGGGAGGAGTCAGAAGAGGGAAAAGGAGACCATTTACATTTTACTCAAAAATTCCACATTGCTTGACATTGTTGTAGGGGGTTAATAATACTTTTTTTTTTTTTTTTTTTTTTTTTTTTTTACCTTGCAGCCCCAGCTGGAAGAATACTTTTGTAAGCTTAAAAACAATTTTTAAAAAGAAAAGTAACTGAGACTAATAAACCTTACAGAACTCATAAAGACCATAACTACTTCCTTCAGATAAGATGAGGACACTGGAGCCCTAGCCTGGATCAAGAACAGCAATGTCCTGGTTTCCCATCTTATTTATGCTCTTTCCACTTACCACGTTCCTTTTAAATGTCTAAGAATTTCATTGTTTATTTTAAGCCATTTATCACAGCTGTTATCTTAATCGTAGTTGCGTTTGTTTAACAACCACTGCGGCTTATCGAGAATTTATCTAACATATTTTATAGAATAAGCATACCCTTTAAAAGAGATATCAGGTATTATGAAGAAAACCTTACATAAGTTATTTCTCCAAGCATAAAATGTTCACATATTTTTAATTGAGGTTTCCCTGTAGCAGATCAAATGATGCATTTGTTTTGGTGATTAGTGCCAAACATTGACACAGTGAGAGAGGCAGTTAGACAGCAGCAGCAATGTGAGGGGGCTCTGGGGACACAGTTCTGTCCTGCATACTCTGGGGAGACCCACACTGTTCTCCAAGACTGCATTCCAACAAAGGCGAATGATGTGTATACTTGTGAGAAAAATGAAACCATTCTTATAAACAAAAGGATAATTAACTGCAAACAAATATAATCCTCTCTGAGAATATAAGAGAAGAAGACGGACATGGTGGAGATTTAATTTCAAGGGTGTGGGATACATCTTCACAACTGCCTTTCCAGGTAGGTAAGATTGGAGCCAAACTTTGAAGGGATGAGAGGGATCAAAGTATCCCTTAATAGACGTACGTTCTCTCCTCGAAGATGACAGGGACAATTTGGTCAGGATCTCAGATCAGATTCCTTTTGCTTCATCTTCACTTACCCCGTATGGTTAATCCCAAGAAGCCTGTGAATCTGAGCAGGAACAAACAAACAAACAAGCATCACGGCTGACCCACTTTGGAGATGTGGAAACTTAGCAAATGACATTTTTCTAAGACATCGACTGACATTTTTTTTTCATAGCAAAAAAACAGATGCTTTTTAGCCTTGGGAAAAACTACTTAATATTTTAAGTGGATGCAATTTCACTTAGTTATTTAGAATCTGACCACCAAAATGTCTAATATTTATTTACTAGCTTTGATTTATCTTTAAAATGACATTTCTGTGTTTGAATATGAGCCAATTGGAAGAACTCAAACACAGGCCAAAGTTTGGTGTATTTCAGAGTCAATGTCCATTTCTCACAGTGATGATTTCAGCTCCCCATCTTGCCCAGGATTTGGTATAAATGCAGATACAATGTGCTCATGCGAGCATGTATATGTTCCATGTCATTTAGAGCTAGAAACTTCCCCAGAGAGGGTACCACCCACGGCTATCGAAATAGCACCAAAATGCTCCACAGGGGAAATATCATGAATATGCAGAGACTCTTAATTTTCTTCTTTATTTTCTTTACATTACATGGAAAATCTGTCAAAACACTTTCTTTAAAGGATAAAGGGTTCTGCTTCTTTTTATGCATGCTGTTTACTTGGGGGATACGGAATCGTTTCTATCAGGCACTTGATCTTCTCAGAAGTGTTTTCTGGGTTTGCAGGAGGGGAGGGCATGTAGAGCAGTGCTGATGGCATCAGCCTAAACCTCCCAATCTATAGGAATAAAGACGGCTGCTGGACAGACACATGGTGTCTGCTCTGATTGCACCGCCTCCCTGGTCACAACCTTTCACTGTGGTCATTCTGGTAGAAAAAGAGCATACCTAGGTTTCAGACACCTGGAGCTTTTTTTTTTTTTTTTTTTTGAGATGCAGTCTTGCTCTGTTGCCTAGGCTGGACTGCAGTGGCGTGATCTTGGCTCACTGCAACCTCCGCCTCCCAGATTCAAGCGATTCTCCTACCTCAGCCTCCCAAGTAGCTGAGATTACAGGTGCCCACCACTATGCCCAGCTAATTTTTTTTATTTTTAGTAGAGATGGGATTTCACCATGTTGGCCAGGCTGGTCACAAACTCCTGACCTCAAGTGATCCACCCTCTTCGGCCTCCCAAAGTGGAGCTCTTACCTCTAAGAAGGTAACCATGATATGAACTTCCAATGAACAAATAGAAACATGGGTCTTTACTTCAATCCAGACAACATTTTCATCAGACCATGCACCCAGGGCTGCTCCCTGGGCTGTGACTTGTGCAGTCTCACAGGGTCCTGTGTTTGGTTTCACACTCTGCTCTCACCATTTTGAAGTCCTTACTAATTTTTTTTATAAAAGGCCCTGCATTATCATTGTGTGGGAACTGGGTTCTGCACATTATGCAGCCAGGCCTGCCTGCAGCCTCGGATTCTTCACCCTGGTAGGGAAAGGTGTATGTTTGGAGAGTTTTTTGTTGTTGTTGTTGTTGTTTGTTTGTTTTTTAAGACAAGGTCTTGCTCTGTTACCCAGGCTGGAGTGCAGTGGCCTGATCATGGCTCACTGCAGCCTTGACCTCCCGGGCTTAAGTGATCCTCCTGCCTCAGCCTCTGAGGCACTAGGACTACAGGCACACACCACCATGCCTGGCCAATTTATTTTTATTTTTTGTAGAGATGAGGTCTCCCCAGGTTGCCCAGGCTGGTCTCAAACTTCTGGACTCAAGTGATCCTCTCATTTTGGCCTCCCAAATCACTGGGATTACAGGCGTGATTTTTTTTTTTTTTTTTAATGCTCAGCCTAGATGGTTTTTTTATTTTATTATTATTATTTATACTTTATCAGAGTTTGCTCAGAGCATCAATGGAAAAGAAAAAGGCCCTAGTTCTCCCACTGCAGCTCACCTTCCTGTCAAGAGAGAATTCTCCAGGCAGGCCTTTTGCGTTGCTTCTGCCCATAAAAATATTTAACAAGAGCTCCACACTGCAGAATTGGAGGCCCACACAACCTTGAAGGGAGGGCTTGTCCGAGTGATGGACCTTGGCCTTCTTCAGGTGGACACTGTCAAAACCCCAGATGGAGGAAAGCTTTACCCTTTGTTTTTGAGAACACCTTCATCATTTCTGAGCTTCCTAGACGTTTTATTTCCAAGGTCAATAATGGGATTTGCTTGAAAAGCTTCTGAGTTTATATGCTGAGATTATACATAAACAAACTCCAAATATCTCACCTTTTGGTCAACAAAAATATCCTGAACTATAAACTTCCTGCTACTCAGTCAGGCAAATGAGAACCACGATATTGAGAGGGCTGTGAGTTGTTCCCATTCACTGTTTCACAGTACTCACTGTTTGACTGTTTCACAGAAGCTTAATTGAAACCTTTTACCCATTTCACCAGGTGAAGAAATGTCAATCCCCTCTGCTTTTGTTGCTCTCCACATCTCGGAGTGTGGGTAGCAGAGCTAGCTGGTGGGCAGAGCTGTGAAAGTTCATAATGAGAACAAAGGAACACTCAAAACTTATCTAACAGGGGCTCATGCCTGTAATCCTAGCACTTTGGGAGGCCGAGGTGGACGGATCATCTAAGGTCAGGAGTTCAAGACCAGCCTGGCCAACATGGTAAAATCCTGTCTCTACTTAAAATACAAAAAAACAGCTGGGCATGGTGGCAGGCACCTGTAATCCCAGCTACTCAGGAGGCTGAGGCAGGATAATCGCTTGAACACAGGAGGCGGGGGTTGCACTGAGCTGAGATTGTGCCACTGCACTCCAGCCTGGAAACAAGAGTGAAACTCCATCTCAAAAAAAAAAAAAGTATCTAAATAGATGTTATCATAATTTTAATTTTTATCAAAGTAGTACATATACACAGTTTACAGTGCCAAGTAGTATTACAAGGCATATAAGGAAAAAAAAAATGTACCTGTCATCCATACCCCTGAGTACCATACCCCTGAGACAACCCATTTTAATTCTTTTAGTGTTATTTCTTGTATTTACATCCACTTGTCTAAGTGACACACTTACTATTCATTAATTTTTCCAATTTGGATATTCTCTATTGACTTGTATAAAAGATATCTGGGAAATTTTATATGGAAAATTTCACAGATACCTTTAGCCATACACACCTGTTTGTGTTTGCATCCTACATCCTCCCAATATAGTTACATGAAAATACATAGCTAAATTATAATTAGATGATTATGTTATTATAACTGTGGAAATTTTGTTCACAGTGAGGATACATAGCATATTATGATTATATTTTCTTTCTGATAGTACGACTCCTTGTTTTTCCTGGAGTTAGTCATTGTTTGTTTTTTAATTTGTCTTGTTTTCTGTGTTCCTATAACTAATACTTTTACCAGATTTCCCAACAAAAGAGATCCACTGATTTTCTTGGAAATATGTTCCCTGGGGCTTCTTCCTTCTCATTCTCTAGATTTGCTGCACAGCTATCATCCTGGTATCTGTCTCATCACTTACTAGGAGATTGTAAATGTCCCTCTCCTTTGAAAGATCCCCTGTTCCTGGACCCCATGTCTTCCTTTCTTAATTTATTCTCTTGTTTTGGGGGAGCATATTCATCAAGGCATTGGAGGTAAAGTTTCAGGCTTGCGTATTTGAAAATGTCTTTATTTAATCCTCACACTTCGTTGATCATTTAGCTGGAACAGAATTTTCAGTAGGAAAAATTTCATCTCAGTTTTCAAAGGCATTGCTGCACGGTCTTACAGCTTCCAGCATTGCTGTTCAGAAGTCCACCCATGATCTTCATTCCTGATCCTTTGTAAGTAACTCCAGAGAGACCATCTGGGTCTAGAGATATTTTGGGGCTGGGGGAGGATTTAAAATTACAAACTCTATTTTCTTAACAATTACTGGGCTATATGAGCTCTCTCTTTCATATTGGGTAAGTTGCGGTAGTTTGTATTTTTTTTTTTTTTTTTTTTTTTGAGACAGAGTCTCGCTCTGTCGCCCAGGCTGGAGTGCAGTGGTGCGGCTCAGTGCAACCTCCGCCTCCCAGGTTTCAGCAATTCTCCTGCCTCAGCCTCCCAAGTAGCTGGGACTACAGGCGCGTGCCACCATGCCCGGCTAATTTTTGTATTTTTTAGTAGAGACCGGGTTTCACCACATTGGCCAGGCTGGTCTCAAACTCCTGGCCTCGTGATCTGCCTGCCTCAGCCTCCCAAAGTGCTGGGATTACAGGCGTGAGCCACCGTGCATGGCTGGTAGTTTGTATTTTTTGAGAAATTCGTCTATTTCATCTGAGTTGTTAAATTTATGTGTGTAGAATTGTTTATAGTATTCTCTTATGATCCTTTTAATATCTGCAGGGTTCCTAGTAATGTTTCATGTTTAATTTTTCTTTGTTTCTTGTCTTTCTTTCTTTTTCTTTCCTTCTTTCCTTCCCCTCTTCCCTTCCCTTCCCTTCCCTCCCCTCCCCTCCCCTCCCCTCTCCTCCCCTCCCTTCCCCTCCCTTCCCTTCCCTTTCCTTCCCTTCCCTTCCCTTCCCTTCCCTTCCCTCCTTCCTTCCTTCCTTCCTTCCTTCCTTCCTTCCTTCCTTCCTTCTCTCTCTCTCTCTCTTTCTTTCTTCTTCTTTTGTCTGAGAGAGAGTCTCACTCTGTCACCCAGGCTGGAGTGCCAGTGGTGTGATCTTGGTTCACTGCAACTTCCACCTCCTGGGTTCAAGCAATCCTTCTGCCTCAGCCACCTGAGTAGCTGGGGATTACAGGTGTGCACTACCACACCTGGATAATTTTTGTATTTTTAGTAAAGATGGGGTTTTGCCATGTTGGCCAGACTGGTCTCGAACTCCTGACCTCAAGTGATCCAACAGCCTGGGCCTCCCAAAGTGTTGGGATTATAAGCGTGAGCCACCGCACCTGGCCTCCCATGTTTAATTTCTTATTTTGGTAATTTGTGTCTTCTCTATTTTTTCTTTATCAGTTTTCTTAGAGGTTTATTGATTTTATTGAGCTTTTCAAAGAACTAGATCCTGGTTACATTGGTTTTCTCTACTGTTTTTTCTGTTTTTCATTTAATTGATTTCTGCTCTGTACTAGTGCCTTCTGTCTGCTTACTTTGGGTTTATTTTGTTCTCCCTTTTCTAGTTTCTTGAGTTTGGAGCTTAGATTATTGATTTGAGATTTTTCCTCTTGTCTAACGCATGTATTTAGTACTATAAATTTGCCTCTTAGCACTGCTTTAGTTGTATCTTAGAAATTTTGATATGTTGTATTTATCATTCAGTTCAATGTAGTTATTTTTTAAATTTTCCCTGAGATTTACTCTTTGACTCATGGATTATTTAGTGTGTACTTTAGTTTCTAAGTATTTGGAGATATTTTTGTTTTCTTTCTGATATTGATTTCTACTTTGATTCCATTGTGGTTGAAAACAGTCTGTATAATTTCAATTATTTAAATGTGTTGAGGTTTGTTTTATGGCCCAGGATGTGGTCTATCTTGCTATATATTTCATGACTACTTGAAAGGAATTTGTATCTGTTCTTGTTGAGTGGAGCATTCTATAAATGCCAATTAGATCTTATTGGTTGATGGTGTTGTTGAATTCTTCTGTGTCTTATATCAATTTTTGATAGAGGAGTGTTGAAGTCTCCAACTATAATTGTGGATTTGTCTATTTCTCTTCAGTTCTATCAGTTTGTGTTCACATATTTTACAACTCTTTTATTTGGCATACACATTTAGAATTGCTGTGTCTTCTTGGTAGATTGTGCCTTTTGTCATTATAAAATGTCTCTTTCTATTTCTAGGAATTTTATTTGCTCTAAGTCTACATTTGTATTAGTATAGCCATTTCTACTTTCTTTCATTAATATTTGCCTGATTAATCTTTTTCCATCCACTTACTGTCAACCTATTTATATTATATGGGCAGCAAGTTTCTGTAGTTGGTATATAGTTAGATTGTGTTTTTTAATCCCCTCTGCCTATCTTCACCTTTACTAAAATGTAATAAACCATTTTCATTATTACTGGGCAAGGGTGGGAGCTCCAGTTTCACATCCAATTACTACTGATATTGTATTCAGGGTGGCCTCAGTGGGTGGTGGTAAAAGGGCTCACTTGCTATTGGGCTTCTTCTGATACTACCCTGAAGGCAGGGAGAGGGTCACCTCACAGCTTTGTGAGGGTGAAATTCTAGGCTGTCTACGAGGTCTTTTCTTGTGTGGGTGAAGGTGGGTCACAGTTTTTCCTGTGATGTATGCCTGGAGCAGAGCAGTTCTTGTCTAAATATTTTCTGTCTTGGTAGGCTGCCCATTTCCTCAATCTTTGACTCAAGATATTTTTTATGTCTGTGTCTTCGGTGTTTCTTAGTGTAGCCTTCTTCAGCAGCAAGTCTAGAATACATGGGGCAAAAATAAAAACCCAGGAAACTCACCATCACATTGTTCCTTGAGTTTTGAGGTCCCTAGACAGTCTGCTTTCTTCTCTCTACCTTTCAAAGTCTTCTTATATTTGTTTCACGTACAGTTTTTAGGGTTTTCAGTTGTACTTTGCAGGAAAAGTAGGAATGACACAGAAATTCCTGATTCTAAGGTTTTGGCCTAAACCATGGGGAAAAAGGAGTTGTGGAAGAGTGAGGTGAGAAGATTGCGGGTTTTAAGAAGGATAGAACCAGAATTTTGTTTGGAAATGTGAAGTTTTGAGGTGTCGTTAAAGACATCCAATTGGAGATGTCAAAGAAGCCATTGAGATTTCTATCTCAAGTCTGGAAATTAGGGCCAAGTTATGAACTTGATTTAAATTGAGGGTTGTGAAATGATATTTAAAGATTTAACTTCCAAGAGAGCAAACATTCCAATTCCTGAGTCTCCCCGGGGTTTTACCGTGTGAATCAATGAGCTTCACTGGGGAGCATACTTGGGTATCACATCCCCCATCCACCTGTTTTCAATTTTCCAAATATTTTTCACATCTCTTGTCTATTCCTGCATCACCTGGCATTCTTTAGGTTACTATGTGTTAATACCTTTTATTTTTTTTACTTCTACCATAATTGTAGCAGGCTTCAGGAAAAGCAAGAAATAAAAGCCTGTGTTCAAATCACTATGTTCAACCACAGAAATATATTTATAAAACTCTTATGTGAAATTATATGTTGACTGATAAGACTGAGCTTCTGAGTCGCTCTTTCTGCCAAAAGCTGACGAACCTCAATTAGCCTGCTTTGCTCAATCCAATTTAATTGGGTAAATTTCCCATTGGTTTGGTTTATTAATTTGGTGCTGCCTGTTCTTTGTATACTTTAACCTTCCTTGGTCCTGCTCAGGGACTCCTAAATACATTTCTTTTCTTCTTCTAAAGACCATAGTCCTTGAATCCAAAACAGATCTATTAGAGTCCTAGCTGGGTGTAGTGGCTCACACCTGTAATCCCAGTGATTCAGGAGGCTGAGGTGGAGGATCACTTGAGCCCAGGAGTTCGAGGCTGCAGTGAGCTATGATGGTGCCACTGCACTCTAGCCTGGGCAAGAGAGCAAGACTCCGACTCAAAAAAAACCAAACAAACCATATATTAGAGTCCTAACCCTTAGTAGCTCAGAATATGACCTTATTCAGAGATAGCCTTTACAGATGTAATAAAGAAAAAATGAGGTCATTAGTGTAGGCCCTAGTTCAATGTAACTGGTGTCATTATGAAAAGGAGAAATTTGAGCAGAGACATGACACAACTAATGGAGGGAAGAAACACAGGGAGAAGATGACCATCTACAAGCCAAAGAGAGAGGCTTGGAGCAGATCAGTCCATCTATGGCCCTGAGGACAACCAACGCTGGCCACACTTTGATTTTTGGACTTCCAGCCTTCAGAACTGTGAGGCAATAAGTAAATTGCTGTTGTTGAAGCCACCCAATTCATGGTACTTTGTTTTGCGGCAGCCCTGAGCAACAAATCCACCATCTGAAATTCCACCTACTCCAAGAAAAATATGTCTGTGTTCATAATGTTTGCCCAAATTCTGTTTTTTTTTTAAATTAACCATTGATTTAAATAATCAAGTTGAAATTCTCTATTTGTTCTGCTATGCACTTGCTGCCAAAAACTCCCTTTCCCAAATTTTAACTTATTTAGAAAAGACACTGGAATGTTAAGGGGTATATTTTCCTTCCTTAATTTCCAAAGGCAGTTATTTGATTTTCACTTTCAAGCAAACTCCCTAAGTTACACAATATTTGGAAGAGGCTGGGGGCAAAACTTATCTTTCACTTGCTACAGCTTTATTCAATTATTTATTCATTTCTACATGTGTTTATCTCAATGACTGTCTCTTGAAATGAACTCAGCACTGTCCATATACTGCTGATCAAGACTTCTTCTGTCTCTCCAGAACTCACAGTCTCATGGGGAACATGCATAAACAATCAGTCTAGTGCAGTCAGTGGGCCAAAAGCAGTGTGTCCAGGGTGCTACAGGATTGTGCAAAGGCAATGACAGATTCTGCTTGGGAAAACTGAGCAAGCTGCCGTGACAGGGGACTTCCAGGCTCTGTCTTCAAGAATGTGTAACCCACAAGGCTGAGTTGTGGAGGAGAGAGCATTCCAGGGAGATCGAGATATGTCTGCCAAGGTTTGACGCATTTAGGGAATAGTGGCTCATTCAGAAACACAGGGCCAGGTCTAACTGTTTTAGAGCATGTCGCGTTGCATTGAAATCATCAGATCACCTAGCTGTTTCTCCCCAGCAGTCTGTAAGTTTCTGGAGGACATTATTGTCATTTGCTATATCCTAGTGTTTTTGCACAGTGCCCAGAACAGATATGAACCTGCAGTAAGTATGTGTTCAATTGATTAGAAGAAAGAAGGAATAACAGATCAAGTATCTGGAAACTTTTTTATTTCTAATTTTGAGGGACATTTTATACAGCGTAAAGAAGCTTGAACTGGGCCGGGCGCGGTGGCTCACGCCTGTAATCCCAGCACTTTGGGAGGCCGAGGCGGGTGGATCATGAGGTCAGGAGATCGAGACCATCCTGGCTAACAAGGTGAAACCCCGTCTCTACTAAAAATACAAAAAATTAGCCAGGCGCGGTGGCGGGCGCCTGTAGTCCCAGCTACTCGGGAGGCTGAGGCAGGAGAATGGCGTGAACCCGGGAAGCGGAGCTTGCAGTGAGCCGAGATTGTGCCACTGCAGTCCGCAGTCCGGCCTGGGCGACAGAGCGAGACTCCGTCTCAAAAAAAAAAAAAAAAAAGAAGCTTGAACTGAGGGTAGGAAGTGTGATGGCAATGGGTAGATGCAGGAGCCTCTGTCCATACTGGAGAGAAGCTGGCCATGGAGAGGGAGAAGGGGCCGCTGGGCACCTGGGCCCAGGTCTGAGTGGAAGGGCAGCCCTGTGGAGGGCAGGGGCTGGGGCTAACCACAGGGGAACTGTGCCCATGCCGTAGAGGGAGTGTCTGTGCCTTTCACCAGGGCATGCCAGTGAGTGAACAACCCTCAAACTCGATGACTCTGGCAAGGCTGATCAAGAGAGAAAGAGAAGACAGAAGTACTAATACCATGAATGAAAATGGACACAGTGACAGATAAAGTAAGGTCTAAAAAGAAAGTAGGGAAAACTATGAACACGTTTATGCCAACAAATTGGAAATGTAGACAAAGTGGACTGAACAATATGCTTTTTAGGAATACAGGATAAAAACTATCTTCTTAAAAAGTAAATGTGATGCTTAATTTCATGTGTCCATTTTACTGGACCATGGAATGCCCGGATATCTAATTCAAGATTCTGGGTGTGTTTGTGAAGGTGATTCGGGGAAAGATTCACATTTGAATCAGTGGACTGAGTAAAGCAGGTGGCCCTCTGCATCGTGAGCGGGTAGTGTCCAATCCACTGAGGGCCTGACTAGAACAAGAAGATGAAGGAAGGTTGGATTCGCTCTCTGCCTGAGCGTATGAGCTGGGACATTGATCTTCTCCTGCCCCTCAGCACTCCTGGTTCTCAGGCCTTCAGACTCGGACTAGAATCTCCACCATTGGCTCTCTGGTTCTCAGGTCTTCAGACAACATCACTGGTTGTCCTGAGTCTCCAGGTTGCAGATGGCAGATGGTGGGACTTCTCAGCCTCAACGCTTGCATGAGCAGATATCTTATAATAAATTTATTTATAGATAGATAGATAGGTAGATAGATATCCTATTGGTTCTGTTTTTCTGGAGAACTCTAACTAATACAGTAAACAATGATAAGCACAAGCTTCACTACTGCCATTACCAGGTGAGGAAGTGGGGAGGCAGGATGGATATAAAAGGTATAAATGACTCTCAGGGTTTTGGTTCTCATGTTGGATGAGAAGTTCAAGGGAATTTATTTATATTGTAATTATTTACTTCCTTAAAAGGAGGACCTGAGCCAATGACCAGAGTGTTTCAAAACCCAAGAATTATGATGAATTCAATTCTGTGTTTTTGAGGCCCCCAAAGGAAACTTCAAGAAAAAAAAAAAAGATCATTTCCATCAGGTCTCAGGAGAGTAGTAAGGGGTTGCCTAGCTGCAGCGGGGAGAAAAAATAAAGTACAGGTTAAACCCAGAGAAGGAGTCGTGTCAGTTGACGACTCTGTGGCACACAGTTTGGCAAGTGTTTTGCAGTATAGCAGGTAGCTGAGCTAGAGTGAACTTGTATTTTCTTCCTCTGCTCGGTTTAATGAAGTATTAGAAAGTCACCATCTCAGGTGTTCAGAAGGAAAGTTATCACTGAAACAGTGAATGTTGCTGCCTACAGGCAGCCAACTACTACCAGAGAAAGGGGACATAAACAGACCTCTGTTTTTTTTGTGTTTTTTTTGTGTTTTTTTTTTTGAGACAGGGTCTTGCTCTGTTGCCCAGGCTGCAGTGCAGTCACGCGGTCTCAGCCCACCGCAACCTCCGCCTCCTGGGTTCAAGTGATTCCTCTGCCTCAGCCTCCCGAGTAGCTGGGACTAGAGGCACGCATCACCACACTAGGCTATTTTTTTGTATTTTAGTAGAGACAGGGTTTCACCATGTTGGCCAGGATGGTCTCGATCTCTGACCTCGTGATCCACTCCCCTCGGCCTCCCGAAGTGCTGGGATTACATGCGTGATATTTTAAAGATCCTATAGCAGGTTGGTTTCTCCTGAGACTTCCCTCCTGGGCTTGCAGATGGAAGCCCCGTGCCCTCACATGGCCTTTCCTCTGTGCATGCACTCCTGGTGTCTCTCTGTGTGTCCAGTGGGATTAGGACTCAGCCTAATGGATTTGTTTTAACTTAATTACCTCTTTAAATGATCTATTTCCAAATACAGTCACATTCTGAAGTACTGAGGGCTAGGACTTCAAATAATAAATTTGGGGAGGGGGAACATAATTCAGCCCATAACCGATCCAAAGGAGAAGCTTCTAGACCTCAAGAGGGGACTGAGGGGAAAGAAGGTTAGGGTTGCCCTGGGTCTGTGAGTTAGCACATGCCTGGGCAGTTCTGATCCAGTACTCTAGGGTCAGGGTGCAATCCACCAAGTGAACAAGAACATGTGGATACGTGAACAAGAAGTGGCTGGAATGGAGACTGGCCAACTGGACCAACCCTCTCAGTTACTCATCTTTGGCCACCAATGCTCTCATCATTGTCACGGTGGAAAAAACAGACCCTAATTCCCCAGGTCCCACATGAATCACAGCTGGGGCTATGCTCCCGAGTGGACTGATGGACTGAAGCATACTGGTTGCACTTTGAACCACTCAAGTGACACACCCAATGAACTGAGCAGACAGTTATTATCGTCCACATTGGGCCACTGAGGTAACGGAGTCTCAGCAGGGTCACATGGCTTTCTAGAGACCCAGACTTAGTAAGTGGAGGAGCCAGAACTCAGTGCAAATCTGCCCAACTCCAAAGCCATGCATTTTCCATGGCATGCTGTAGAGACAGTGCTTTAAATATCTCATGAAATCATCTTAGTCTCTATGATGGTCAATTTTATGAGTCAAGTTGACTGGGTTATTGGGTGCCCAGATATTTGGTTAAACATTATTCTGAGTGTGTCAGTAAGAGTGTTTCTGGGTGAGATTACTATTTGCATTGGTAAACTGAGTGAAGCAGATTGCCTTTCCTAATGGAGGTGGGCCTCATTCAATCCATCAAAGAGCTGAATAGAACAAATGACTTAGTAAGGGACCATTCGCTCTCTCTGCCTGTCTTCAAGTTGGGGCATTGGTCTTCTCTTGCCTTATTACTCAGCCTTCATAACTGAGTGAGTCAATTCCTCATAATAAATCTCGATTGAATGATTGACAGATACATCTCCTATTCCTCTCCACAGCCCAGACTATTACAGACTCCCAAACACTTTGCTAATATTCTTCCACATGGATCAATAAGCTATTCACAAATCATTCTTGTTAGCTCAATTTTTAAAAAGGAAAAGCAATTTGATTCATTCCAATTGCTATGTCTAATTGAAAACAACAGTACAATATTTCCCACTTATCTGCATTTTTTTTTTCTGCCATTTTACTTTCCACGGTTTCAGTTACCTGTGGTCAACCACGGTCTGAAAACATTAAATGGAAAAGTCCAAAACCAAACAATTTATAAGTTTTAAATTGAGTGCCTGTTCTGAGTAGGGTGGTGAAATCTTGGGCTGTTCCACCCTGTCCTGCTTGGGATGTGAGTTATCCCTTTGTCCAGTGTCTCCACACTGCAGACACCAGCTGTCCGTGAGTCACTTAGTTGCTATCTTGGTTCTCAGGTCTACTGTCACAGCACTGCAGAGCTTGTGTATCAGTCACCTTTAGTTTGACTTAAAAATGGCCCCAGGCCGGGTGAGGTGGCTGATGCTTGTAATCCCAGCTCTTTGGGAGGTCCAGGTGGGTGGACTGCTTTGAGCTCAGGGGTTGGAGACCAGCCTGGGCAACATGAGACTCCATCTCTATAAAAAATACAAAAATTAGCTAGGTGTGGTGGTGCACACCTGTAGTCCCAGCTACTTGGGAGGCTGAAGCCCAAGAATCGCTTTAGCTCAGGAGGTGGAGGTTGCAGTGAGCTGAGATCATGCCACTACTCTCTAGCCTGGGTGACAGAGTGAGACCCCTATTTCAAAACAATTTTTAAAATATGGCCCCAAAATGCAAGAGTAGTGATGCTGGCTTATTGTTATAATTGTTTTATTATTAGTTATTGTTGTTAATGTCATACTGTGCCTAAAACTAATATTGAAATGAATAGATGTGTAAGTTTAGAAAAAAAACAGTATCTATAGGGTTCAGTACTACCTGATGTTTCAGGCATTCCTCCAGGGTCTTGGCACATATCTCCTGCAGATAAGGGGGAACTACTGTACCACTCTTAAAAAAATGTCCTCTATCCTAGATTTTTATGACTTAAGATTGGCTTTTCCCGGCAGGGCGCGGTGGCTTACGCCTGTAATCCCAGCACTTTGGGAGGCCGAGGTGGGCGGATCACGAGGTCAGGAGATTGAGACCATCCTGGCTAACACGGTGAAACCCCGTCTCTACTAAAAATACAAAAAATTAGCCAGGCGTGGCGGCGGGCACCTGTAGTCCCAGCTACTCAGGAGGCTGAGGCAGGAGAATGGTGTGAACCCGGGAGGCGGAGCTTGCAGTGAGCCGAGATCACGCCACTGCACTCCAGCCTGGGTGACAGAGCGAGACTCCATCTCAAAGAAAAAAAAAAAAGATGGGCTTTTCCCTAAAATAGCTGAATGAAGGAGCTTTTAAATGTTTCTTTCAATTTTTTTGCATCATAATATATAGAGTTATTTATTTAACTAAAAATGAATTATTGGACATAGGAAGAGAAAAGACATTGTTCTTTCCATTCTTAATATCAAATCGTGCTTATCAGGTAAAAGGATGAGACCAGTGTTTACGAGCGATCGCTCTGTGCCAGACAGTGGCTTGAAATCCTTACTCGGCACAGGCGATCTTTACAGTCATCGCCTTATTTAATGCGTTTCTTGGTCCCATGGGGGATGGACGGCTTCCCTGAGACCAGAAGGGAATCAGCTCCTTTGCTGGGAGGCTGCTCCAGTTTGTCAGGATTTTATAAATCCACAGAGTATCTTTAGCAAGCAAAGGGCTGGATTCCAAATAGAGCTGGATCCAGATGAACTTCTCAGGGTCGTCACAATTGGACACATGGGAGACAGCATCACACGGTGTGCAAAGAATCCCAGCTGAGTAATTTCTCCCAGATGCTCTCCTCTCTGTCCTGCAGAGTTGTTGGTTTTGGAAAGCCACATGGCCATCAAGGGCCTCTAACTTCAGAGGATATCCTGATAACGCCTGAGCCCTGTGGTTGTCAAAACCGTGAGGTGAACATTCAGCCTTAATCACAGTTCTCTTCGGCAGCACTTAAAAATGTAGTTGATGAATTTAACAAGAAACACATGTTTTCATTTAAATTACAATTAGCAATTAGAGAGTTAAGTGTGCCCTAGATAGAATATATAATCGTTGTTGAGTTTGTGGCATAGCTACTTTACTGTTACCATTCTCTTTTTATGTTTTGCTTTATGATTTTATGGTAAATTTATGCAGAAACTGTGAGAGAACCCGGAGCTAAGCAAAGCTGCAGGACTGAAGTTATTTGGCTTCTAAATAAATGGTCACCGGTCTAGGCCCACTGCAGATTCATTGCCTAGCACGATTCTCTTTGTTTTAGGAAATGTGGAAAGACATTTTACCTACCCTCCAACCAATCTGAGCTGGAT
Organism: Homo sapiens; assembly: GCF_000001405.40. NCBI lineage: Eukaryota > Metazoa > Chordata > Mammalia > Primates > Hominidae > Homo > Homo sapiens. Next base: position 14,518,246 of record NC_000006.12, on the reverse strand, counting down.
AATTTGTTAGTGATATCTGCAGTGTAAATTACATACTTCTGAAAGTATCGTAGAATGATAGACTAGCTCTATCTACCTACTGATCTCTATGATTTCCTGAAAATTCAGAAAAGGAAAAGCAAGCCACCTTCTCCTTCAGAATATTCCGTAGTAAAATTACTATTTACCTCTGCTTTTCAGTGGCGATTATTAAGAGGAAAAAAAAAAGAGGCCAAGAAAAAGAGCCAACACATACTATTCGGGTGACAAGTCAGGTGCATTCCAGATGGTGGGGAGGCCTGGTTAATGGAATTCAAGGGGGAATCCACAGGGCTGGACGGCCAGGGCACAACCACTCCTGATCCATAAAAGGTTTCTGGAGCAAGGCAAATTGGCAGTCATAACGAATAATGAAGCCATCTAATGGGAACGTAATTCCTGGTGAGGAAATACCGTCCTCCCCCAAATAAAATAAAAAAGAGAGAGATATGGTTTATGGCAAAGTTACCAAGGAGGTTGAGTACCAGACAGATTACAGCCAAGACAAGTAATTGCATGTAGCTTGGAGACCAGAATATATAACTCCTTGGCACTAGCTAAGGAACCACAGCAGTTTCTAAATTTTAGCAAAACCAGACACAGAGGTGAGGGGAGATTACTCTTCCAGGTTATGCCAGAAATCAGAGACTTTTGGCAGTGTTTGGGCCACATGTAACTGTAGACATTGGAGAGAATGATTTCTGAATTTCTTTAAAGTCATATGCGCCAAGGGGAAGGGAATAATTTGGTTTCTTCAAAACAACCAATATTTTAGTTTCACTTGCAGACACATAGACCTGTCACTCAAATGGATCGTCTTTTCCTTATTTTCCTAGTGTTTAATTAATGTTTCCAGGTCAAAATACCAGAATTTTTTTTTTTAAGTTTCCCTGTCTAATGCTGCAGGAAATAAATGGTTCATTGGACTCTACTGTTGTCCAAGTTCACTGCTCCACACGTACAGCAAAACTTCTTCGAGAAGACAGAAAGCCAGGTTCTACGTTCTCCTTCCGCATTGTTTTTCATTTCGTGGAATTGTTTGTCTCCTGCCTCGGGGACAGGGAGTAAATTTTCCTCGACACACTGACAGCCCTTGTGCAACATCTGCATAACGATGGAATTTATTTTGTTCATTATGACTGCTGCAGCGCATGGGGCTGTATTTCACTCCCACAGACGATTTCTGTTTTCATAAATTATCCAGCATGCTCCTCGTGGAAATGGCTGGCAGTCTTTGGAGAACTGGCAAATAATCTCTGAGTTGTCTCTGCTTCTTCATTTTGGTTATTTCTGTGTCATAAAAGTTATGACCTATCAGACAGAAGAAGCATCAAGAAGGCCTCTAATAAATAGTATTCAACAAGCTCCAGACAAATCTAATAACAGCCGTGGAGGCTTCAAAGAAACCCTAAACACCTCCCCAGCCCGAGAGCTCAATGACTAAGGCACCTTCCTGTGGCCACCAGCACCCGTTTCTGCTTGAAGCATTTTGTTTTCTGTGTATTGATAGAAACTTCATTTTGCTCCCTTATAGACCATCCAGCTCTGTGGTGATCTTTGTGTTCTTAACAATGCATCTCCCCTTTGATTTTTTGAAAACATAGCAGATATAAATAGAAGCATTCTATAAGTGCAAAAACAAACAAGGACCCCCAAGTATTCTGGACAAAAGCAGGGCCCTCGCAGAAGTCCCATCAGATGTTCAACATCAATTAAGACTTCACATACCATTTTCTTCCTCCTCTTCCATTTATCTCTTTCTTAGGATTTGGCACAAAAAAACACCGGCCTGGAACTGGAGTTGTAATTTGAAACAGTTGATCTACAGTTCAGGACACACTCTGAAGGGTCTCCCAGCATTGCCTTACTGAAACATGCATAGTCCCCATGGAAGGGGAAGGTTCAACCAAGGGGGAGCTGGACTTCAGGTGGATGGGAAGGGGGCTGACATGAAATGTGACCCTAGGAGACATGCTCTGTCTCTTATTTATCCCTGAGATAGCTTGGGAAGAGAACTAAGAAGAGGGTAAACTGGGGAGACGGTTTTCTACCTGATGAAGTCTGAGCAGAGCAAGAAATCATGCCGCCCACTCCCACACCCTTGCGCCCACCAGAAATAACAAGGCTCTTCTAACATGGTAGACTCGTTTTATTACAGAAGTTTTCAGACTGCTGGATGATTTGTTCTTATGGTCTCGGGGTCCAGGTGGGGTAGAAATGGACTGAAAGGGAAGGCAGGCAACAGACAGGCTTGGTTCTTTGTCTATGAGGATCACCAGGTTTGTTGTTGGCCACCTATTATGCAATGTTGTGCTTCACATCAGTTGGGTGGTGCCATGACCTTTATGGAGGCACCCTGGGCCGTGCATCATGGAGCCGGTTCTCCTGCATAGCCACCCAGCTGCAGCCCTATAAAGTCTCGCCACCTCCCAGGGGTTGCCTTGGAGCAGAACCCTGGCCTCTGCCAGCCTTATAGTGACTTGAACCCCCTTTTGCTCCCATTCTCGTGTTTTTAGCATCGGTCCTGTCTGCCTATTCAACCCAAAAATGAATTTCCTTAGCTGAGTCTTGACTTGCCAAGCAAACATCTGGGTATCCATTATATAAATGCAGCCCCTGAAACAAATGAAAAGCTTCTCACATTCCCGTGGGGCAAGGAAGTGCAGAAGCCTAGGTCCCAAAGCTTCACAAAGATTCACTGACATGTGCAAGTGAGGGCAGGGTGGGGAGGGTGGAGTGTAGAAGTAAGAGCAGGGAGACATTTATTCTTCTCTGAAATTATAGGACAGGCTACTAATACTACTAATAATAGAAATAATAATTTCTGAGCTAATACTGCTAAATCTTCCATATCCCAGATACAATATTTAATACTTTTATAGGTTTTTCATTGAATTCTCATAACTTTATGAGGCAAATAGCATTTCCTTCATATCGTAGATTAGGCCAGGGATGGAAGTTACACTTTCATAAAGCGCACTGTGCTGGCCACTTTAGATATCTTTTCATTAAATTTTTACAGCCCTGTAAGATATCAAATTATATCCACTTTACAGACGAGGAAACTGAGGCAGCTGTCCTGTTCAGGAATAATTCAAAAAGGTTATAGTTATCAACTTGATGAACATCAGTATGAAGGCTCCTAAATGCAGAGTTTAAAGATCCTCGCCACACCACAGTTCCTTGGGGAAGTCAGCTCTAGGCTAAGATACCCTGGATCCTACACCCTCCCCCGAGTGTCTTTCTGCAAGTTTTTCTGAATCAGTGGTCCTGGTGTCCTCCAATGTGAACTCTCAGGCCTATGGAGGTTATTTAAAAGGAAGGAAGGGCCGGGCACGGTGGCTCACTTCTGTAATCCCAACACTTTGGGAGGCCAAGGCATGTGGATCACGAGGGCAGGAGTTCGAGACCAGCCTGGCCAGAGACACAGTGTTTATTAAGTGGATACAAGTAGAAGACCAAATGAATGCTAAGTGAAAAATTCTATTTGTAGTTCTCACTTCTGCCCATTGGACTGCTCTTCTCTCCTTATGGTGTAGCAACGATAACGCTACTTTTTAAAAAGCTGCATAATTACCTTTCATTGTCACTGAACACTATTTATTGATTTCTACTTGATGTGCCAGTTGCCTCTGAAAATCATGATATCTGCTGATGGACAAATTTACAACATGTGCATGTGACCAAAACTTGTGCCTCTGGTGCAAAGCCACAAGTTTAGAAATAATAAGGATTTAGGAATTCCTTCTCCAGTGCACCAAGCTGAGCCGTCCCTTGCCAACCTGAAAGGTGGACTGAACAGAGCATATCTCCCTCCCCACTCAGTGCCCACCTCCCCTCCACCCTTCGGACCCAAAGCAGTGAAACACTGGGCTATTTGTTCCCCAAAACCACAGCATGAAGTTTTCCAGCAATGGCAGGAAAAAGTTTCTGCATTCCCCAGCTCCCCCATTCCCTCCCCTTCTCCAATTAATACCAAAGGTTTCAATTATCCTGGAAATCTGAGCTCTGGTATGTTATTAGAATCCTGTTTCAGGAAAACACATTCCCAAGCCCCCACGTCCTATGGAGATTTTTCTTTCTCCAGAAGTCACGGGGTAAGACTGTTATCTGAGATCCTTCTCAGGAGGTGGTTTGTTCTTTTCCCCTTTCATGGAAGGCTTTTTCTAGTGAGGAGTGGGATCCTGATGTGATGGGGCCTCGGTTGCCTGGTGGTTAGGAAGTAAGAGGAATTTGAGATTTCCTTCTTGGTGCTTGAAGCTGGCAACATCAGAGAGCCTGCTTCGTCTGACCACCAACTGACACCATTCACCTCTGACCAAAAAGTGTGCTGCTCTGAGGATGCGTCTTTGTGAAACTACACCTTTCCTTTTTCTTTTCTTCTCTTCTGAGCCATAGTATAAATTCCTTTAGGGGAAGATCAGATACTTTATCCATTTTTTAAGAAAAGTAATCAAGAACTAAGCCTACTAGATATGAACTGAAAGAAACCACAAACCCCAAACTAGAAAAAACTATATTCATTTGTCAAAAATGGAACTTCACCCAAATTAACATCTGAAATAGATTTGCTTGAACAGCCACAACTCAGCACTGGGCAAACATTACATTTTAATTTTTTTTTTTTTTTTTTTTACAGTTCTCCAACTAACCATTATCAATTTTGCTTCTCAAGCCTGGGTAGATCAGGAAAAATGAAAAATTTCAAGTTAAAGATGTAAGTGTCTTCGTATGACAGAATTTTAGAATTTTCATAGTCAGGAACTTTCCAACCTCTTCTGGTTAAATCAATCACTTTTCTGGTGATTTTTCAGTCAGTTCAAAAATGAATTCCTCACTGTGGTAACCATGTTTCAAGATGGCCCCCAATGAGCCTCACTTCCTGGGATTCGTACCCTTGCGGGATCCCCTTCATCGTGACACCAGGGCTTTTCTTTGTGACCACTAGAATATGGCCGAAGTCATGCTGTCAGAATTCTGGGGACAATGCTGCTTCCACTTTGGTCTTTTGGATCACCCTCTCTGGAGGAAGCCAGTTGTCATGTCATGAAGACACTTAAGCAGCAACTCCCTGTCAACAACCAGCACCAACTTGGAAGACGAGTGAGTGAGCCACCTTCAAAGTGGATCCTCCAATGCCAGTCAAAGCTCCAGATAACTGTCACCCTGGTCCAAATCTTGACTGCAGCCACATGAGAGATCCTCGAGACAGAGGCAATGGCTAAACCACTCTCACATTTCTGACTCGGACAAGCTATAGGAGATAATATATATTTAGAGTTGTTTTAAGCCAATAACTGTTGGGCTAATTTGTCACACAGCGACAGATAACACATACAATATCTGAGCTGTTTCTACCTCGCTCCCTCTTCTTTCCATGATGTCTGGTGTGCAGGGCCAGGAGCCTGTGTGACCTCAGTGGTGAAGGACAGGGATCTTGGGCCTGTGTAGTGTCCCTGGAATATTCTGGTCTCTTTGGTGATCTGGGTAGGGTTGTGTACTGCTTGGATCTGGTCTCTGAGCTGCTTTCTGCTGATGAGACCCCTATCAGTTATTTTTGTGGTTTGTTCTCTTAGCTCAAGTAGGGTTGGCAGCTCTCCTCAATAGGCCTCCCCTTCAGCTCCTGCCAGCACTGCAGACCCATTCCTGGGTTCAGGTTGTCATTCGTGAGCAATCCCTGATCTGGAAGTTCTGCCCTGCAGCCTTCAAGGGCTACTGGTCACTTTGCCAAGGCTTCTGCAACCTTTCTGGCAGTGTTCCAGTTCACTTCTTTGACCACCTTTCTTGTTCCCATGGGGTACAGGAAATTTCTGGATTCTTCCATGGTGCATGAATGCCAAGGGAATGTCAGGATTGCCACCTCAGACACTCACACGAACAGTACCACACCATCATTTTTTTCTTTCGACTGCAGCCTCAGGCTCATTCCATGAGAGATCACCCTTGTGGAGTTCCAGAGAGGGAGAGGGAACTAAACCCCTCTGCTGGGGGCTTTCTCGTCTGCTCTGGGCTGCTGGAGGGTCAGGACACACGTACCTGATCATTTGCTGCAATTCCTCTGCCTCTCTTCTTTCTACACTCCATAGGAGGCTTGACCAGGATTTCTACTTCTTCTGTTGGAAACTCCTTTTCTGCCGTGACTGCCTTCTTCCCCAGGGCAGTAGACCTCCCAACCTGTCAGTCACAGGCAGCAGCGGCTTCTCTATATGGTGGAAGGAACCTTGTGCAGGTTTGCCAGGCTGTGCTCTTGGTTTGGGAGCTGCAGTGCAGTGAGGAATGAGGCTACTGCAGATGAAAATAAATGGATTTAATAGGCTCAAATTATTATCCTCATTATCCATTAATTTTGACTGAACTATAAAGTAAAGCACATTTCCCCCCTCAATAAACAAACTACACACACACCAAACCAGTTCGAACTGGAGTGACACGAATATATGTTCTTTAACAAGTTTTTCCAAAAGAACTAGATCTAGAGCATCAAAATCACCTGCAAACTGTACCTGTAATTCATTCAGTTCCAAACCTTGTGTCTGAAGTCAGACTGGTGCAAGAGACAGGTGGAGTTAAGACACATACAGCTACCTTCTCCGTATATGGATCTAGCTGTTTTGTTTCGCCCAGTGTCTTCTAAAATATTTGATTACAAATAACTTTTTAAAAAGTTACACTTGTTTATATACTTGGCACTCTCTTTTTCTTATGGCATATTTCAGGAACTGCTACCTTTAAAGTCTTCTGCTCATAAAACCAGCCAGAAAAAAAGTTAGCAACTCTGAAGCAATCTTTGGGATTCCTAGGCTCCACCCTTGAAAGGGCACTGGGCCTATTCCCAACTGTTGCTTGGATGTTCTTCTAGATCAGGCTCACAAATCAGCAACGCCTAGGATAAAGCCAGCCTTGAGATGCACTTTGTTTCACTTGGGCACATTTTGGCTTTTGTGCATTTGAGAATATTTAAATAACACAAGCAATCTCCAGTTGCCTCCTTTCAGAGGCTCGTGGACACAGTCAGTGATGTGCTATGGGGACTGTAAGAAAGTCTCTGCTAAATGATAGGAAGGAGGGAGTGGCCATTTTTATCTGGGAGGATCAAGAAAGGATTCACTGGGAAATGATATTTGAATCAGAAAAGATGAGGCAAGCTTCACCTAGAAGCAAGAGACAGAGGACATTTCAGGAGAGAGCAGTGTCGTGGAAGCCAGATTAAAATATGTGTATAAAGCAAAGGGAAATTTCATATTTTTAAAAAATGGGTATAGAGGGGGTAGGCAGCAGAGTCAAATATTTCAGAAAGAGAAAGTAAAATGTGTCCCAAAGAAAAATTCAGTTGGATTTATAACATGAATGGATAACCTTTGTCTCAGCAGGGCGGGCTCCGTGGAGTGCTGGGTTCTGTGGAGTGCAGGGCAGGTTCCAGGGAGATGGGTCAGGACAGCAGATTGCTCTGGTTGAAGATAGGGAGATGAAATATAGACTGATTTTTCCTGGGTTTGAGTATTAAAGGAGGGAGCTATATAGACTGTAGCTAAGGGAAAGTTGACTGTCTTCTCAAAAAGGGAGAGTGTCGAGCATGTTTGTAGGCTTTGGAGAAGGAGCCAGTGGAGAGGGAAGTGTTGAACCTACAGAATAAATGCCTAAAGCATCTTTCCGGGGAAAGAGGAGTAGGGGTTAGGCAGCACTCATCAGTGCAGATACCAGCACAGAAGTGGTGGACCATCCAGTTGGTCTAAGAGTGGGGTTTGCTGAGCAGGATTTGTGGAAAGGCAAGGCGTGAAGACATGAGAGAACACTGAAGGCAGACAGTGGTTGGAGCCATGGACCTTAGATCCCAGGTTCAGACAGGAAAGGAAGCAAAGCCGTGATGGGAAGGTTGATAAGAGGTCTCCCTGACAACATCTTACAGTGCATATTTTGAGGTCTGTATGTTGAAGCCTGTTAATTGTTCGATGCACTAAAGCAGATTTGGAGAACCCTTCCAGCTCATTCATGCCCACTAGGGTGCGTTAGAACTGATTTGAGCAAAACAGAAGAAACAATCCACTTCCCAAGTGGAATGTAGTTCCCTGAGATTTTCTCTGCCTTTTCGAGTTATCAAAACAGTCTCCTTCACCCAAGTCTTGAATAAGTTTATATTTCTGTTATGGTAAGCCTTCTTTGAAAGACGCTTGATACTTCATCGGGAGAAGGACAAGAACATTCGAATCCATAAAAGGTAGTATTCATCTGGATGTTCAACTGGAGCTGAGCTTATGGTCCCAAGTTCCTCAGGTTCACCCACATGTATGAGCAGATGAGGCCACCTCACCAGCAGCACAGACCATAAGACCTCCAGTCTCCCCAGCTAAACCTGGGCAGCCCCAGGAGCCTACTGTATGGATCTATGAACACTTCTAGATCCCTTGCCCACAGTCATGTTTTCTGGCATCCTCACAGCCGTAAAACCCGTGTGCCGGCAATGTGACATAGTGTTCTTTATGTTCATATGTTCTTTATGTCCTTATGTGAGACCCTGAGGGCCAATGGGTGGAGGCCAGTGGGTCGAGGGGCTGGCAGAGCTTGGTGGAGTGTTCTGTCATCCTCCACTGTGATCGAGCACAGGGAGAAATGCCCTTCCCTCACTCTGCCTGCCACTTTGTCACCTGGCTTGGAAGCAAAGCCTCACACGGAAACCACCCCCTCAGCTTCTCTCTCTTTCAAGGGCTCAGATGAGGAAGGCGGCAGACCCCATCTGATCCTCTTGTGTTTTCTCTCTCTTCCTACAGATACCCCTCTACAAGCTGTCTTCCTCACGGGCATCCTGTCCTCAAGAAAATCTAACACTCTAAAAGATTCCCACAGTCCATTGGCCCATCAGGTCATCTGGCAGGAGGATTTTGATCTCATTCTGGGCTTATCCTGAAAACCTGCTCAATGCATAACACAGTTTGGATATGCCTGTAGGGTCTTTTAAGTTGGCCACTCCCTGCCCCTGCCGCAGGTCTGCCTTATGGGAAGTCCTAATAGATTTTTTTTTCCAGTATACTTTTCTCACGTCTAAGAATTCTAATTTGAATATTCACAAACGTCTCTTGGTCCCTGATAAAAATCAATTAAAAGAAGCTGGTAGTAAGGAAGGCAAAAGACAGGCAAAGGGAGGGTAGGGCAGAGAGAGTAGCTTTTGCAACCTGGTTGTGTCCATCTGCTGAGGTGGTCATAACAAAGTATCCCAGGCTGGGGGACTTAAAGAACAGAAACTTATTTCCACGCCGTCTGGAGATTGAAAGTGTGAGATCAAGGAGTTGTGAGGGTTGGTTTCTTCTGAGGCCTCTCTCCTTGGCTTGTAGAAGGGGGTCTTCTTTCTGTGTCTTCACCTGGTCATTCTTCACCTGGTCATCCCTCTGGATAGTATCTGTGTCGTCATCTCCTTTTTTAAAAAAACAAAATAAGGATACTAGTCATATTGGATTAGGGCTCACCCATAGCGCCTCACTCTACTGTAATTACGTCTTTAAATAAACTATCTTCAAAGTTACATTCTGAATTATATTCTGAGGTACTAGGGGTTAGGATTTCAAAGTATGAATTGAGGAGCGCACAACTCAGTCATAATGTTGGCCCTGGGGGAGTCAAAAGAAGGTGAGGGCAGTGAAGCAGGGCCTTATATGAGACCCTGAGGGCTACTGGGTGGAGGCCAGTGGGTTGAGGGGCTGACAGAGCTTGGTGGAGTGTTCCATCATCCTCCGCTGTGATCGAGCACAGAGCCATTGTGGGCAGAACTGAAGGTGAGTGGCTTCGGAAAATCCCCTGTGCTGTCATGCACTTTTATTAGTTAAAGGCTTCTCAAAGATTTATCCACCTTGATCAAACAGATGATTTTATCTTTGCAACCACAGTGAACCCTGAGGGATGGGAATCAGCTGGTGGACAACTGCAACCTCAAGACACAAGGTCAGAAAGGCACAAGGTGTTCAGAAAGACCCGGGACAAGGAAACCACTTCATAGTCTTCATATCGTTGAAACTGTGGGACATAAAAATTTGAAAGGGTTTGGAGTGTGTGAGGAATGGTAAATGCAAATTGTACCTGCAGTGTATTCTCATTTAAGAACTCATAAGCACCAGTGATAGCCCATTGATTTATTATGCCATCTTTATTGTTTTTAGTTTTGAAAAAAATTTGTATAAGGGTAAAAATTGTAAAAGTTTTTATAAGTTCACCTGAGATCTTGCTGTTCAAACTCTAAACTCTATTTTCTCTGCTAAGACTTTAGTTCCAGAATGGTACATGATAATGTGTAGTTGCTGGGGAAGGAATATATGGTACACTTTTTAAATTTTTTCATGTTATTTTTATTTATTTAGAGGCAGAGTCTTGCTCTGCGGTCCAGGCTGGAGAGCAGTGGTGCAATCATAGCTCACTGCAGCTACTCCTGGGCTCAAGCAATCCTCTCACCTCAGACCCCACCCCCACCCCCACCAGTGCACACCACCATGCTGGGTTATTATTATTTTGTTTTTTGGTAGAGATGGAGTCTTGCTAGGTTGTTCAGGCTGGTCTTGATTTCCTGGCCTGAAGCAATCCTCCCACCTCAGCCTCCCAAAGTGCTGAAATTACAGGAGTGAGCCAGCACACTTCACCCAATACAGTATATTTTGAGACAAGCCCAAGATACTGTGGGGCCTGGGAGGAGTCACACGCTTGAGATAGATAGTCTTTATTCTGGTGTATGGGTCAGGACTTAAGAAACACATTCTTCATTTTTATTTCGGGATCAATGTAAAAACATCTTTCAAGCATATTGAGTACTTTAAGGGATATACTACAGTTGGCTATTAACAATACATTAGTGATGGTATCCACCTATTATGTCCTTGGAGTACTAATCCATTATTCACTCATTCACTCAACAAATAATTCCTGAGCACCTTCTATACACCAGGCACTACATCCCTAGGCATGAACAGACAAAGGCCCTGCCTGCAGGGAGTTGATAGAATGTGAAGAGCTGGGGTGACAACGGGTAGGGAGGGACTGATGGAGGCCTCAGGAAGGGCAGTGCAGGATGAGATGAAGAGGTAGGCAGAGACTGGCTCATGCCTGGGAAGGAAGCTCCTGAATGATTTCATGCTTAAAAGAGAGAGGTTCCCATTCATGTGTTTGAAAGATCACTCAGCCTGTTGTGCAAACAATAATTGTAGGCACAGGGAAGTGAGCTAGGAGGCTGCAGTGGCCCAGATAAGAGGAAAAACAGTCCAGAAACAGAGAGTTGGAATTGGGAGTCTGAGAAGTAACATAGACAGAAGAATGTGTATGCCGTCAACACGGGGGCAGGAAGAATTGCTCAGGACATAAAAGACTGCACTAAGGAAATGGGCGTACACCCAACAGGTAAAATTGAACTTGGGCCAGGAAGGCGCTCCTGACAGCAAGGACTACTTCATTCTGAAAAGGGCTACAGAAGAGAAATGGGGGCATCTTCCCAGGAGGGCGGCAGGAAAGAGACTAGAGAGCCAACCATAGGTTGAATGGCTGAGGTGTGCTTCTGCATAAAGGCAGGTGGCTAGAGTGGAAGAGCTGACATTGCTCCAGGCATTGATTCCAATCTGTGACATTTTACTGTGCACACTGGCAGAGCTCCTTCCTCTTCCTACTGCACCGTCCAATATGGTAGCCACTAGCCATATGTGGCCATTTAAATTCTAAAGTATTACATTAAATTAAAAATTCAGTACCTCAGTTACATAAGCCACATTTCAAATGCTTAATTGTCCCATGTGGCTGGTGGCTACCTCATCCGTTAGTGCAGCTGTAGCACACTTCCATTGTCACAGAAAGTCCTATCGGGCAGGGCTGCTATAGAAAGTTCTCACTCTGTTGGAGCAAACACCTCCAGGAATATTTCCGGGCAGTGCCTGCCAATCTTAGTTCCACCTTGCCGGTTCTCTGTGGCTAACCCTTTTGTCTGGGGCCGTATGCTTGCTCTCTGCCCCCTGTCTTAGGCCTCCTGTCCTACCCTCTCTTTCGTGCCCAGCTTGTCCTCACCTGGGATATAAACCCATGTCCTCTCCTCCAATTCTCCTCCAAGGCTCTGCGCCATGCACTTCAGCCTATCCACTCCTAAGCCAAGAACCAGCTCTTGGACCACCTTAGGCTCAGCCTTGGGCCCCATTTGCTAAGTGTAGCAGGCTGAAGATTCTAGAAGAGCCTGTGATCCAGGAAACAGAGAGCCCAGGCTGAGAGGAGAAATGACATGCCCGTGTTCCAGCCCCAAAGTGACCGCCCGGGTTTCTTAAGGGTGAGGGTTGATGTTTTCTTCAGAGGAAGCAGCCCAGAGGGGAAAACGGACAGGGGAGAAATGTCATTCCCTGGGCTGTAAAGAAGAAGTTAGGGCCTCAGAAGAGAAACAATAAATAAAATAAAAGGTGCAAGAATTTTATGCTTTCTCTGTACTTCAGAAAGCAGGTTTCATATATATTTCAATACCCAGTGTGCTCAAGAATGGATCAGATGTGCACGTGCCTGCAAACCCAAAACACAGCTGGTAGGCCTAATTTTAGGTTCCCAAGCATTGGCACTGTCCCTCTACCCAATGAGCGCTGTCTGATCTTCCAGAGCCTGCATGTAGAGCGGGACTCAGCTGAACTCACTGACAGTCCTGTGTGTGAGCGTGACAGGCACTTTATTCTCGGCTCCTTGAGAGGGGTCAAAAGGCTATGTCCACTCAGGTGTGTCCTCCCAGGACCAGGGCAAAGGGCAGCCCTTCCCACCGGCTCACTCTGGGCCTCAAGTTGTTTTGAGCACCTCTAAAAAAGCAGTTTGAAAGGAAGTCTTGTAAGAAAAAAGATAACAATACCCAGCTCGTCTGATGGGCTGGATGGGGTCGTTCAGAAAGAGAATGTCCCTGCCTAGAACAGGTGTTCCATGGAATATTACTCCACATCTTTCTCGAATGATCAGGGAAACCAGGGTACTGGCTGATGGGAACTTCTGGAGCCATGATGCTTGGGTTAGAATCTGGTTCTGTCATTTATTGGTTATATGACTTTGGGTGAGTTACTTAACTTCTCTGTGCCTCAGTTTCCTCATCTGAAAAGTGGTGCTAATAATAGTGAATGAGGTGATGTGTATAAAGCCAGAGTAGTACCCCACACAGAGCGAGCATTTCATAATTGCTAAGGTGGGGTCAAGGGGCCTTCTGAAGTTTCACTGAAAAATCAACTTGCAAAAGACAGATTAACTGGAGAAAAGGCATACAAACGTATTTAACAGGTAAACACAGGAGCTTTCAGAATGAAGACTCAAAGATAGAGTCTGGAAAATTGTCCTTTATTGTTTTGTGAGACGGAGTCTCGCTCTGTCGCTCAGTCTGGAGTGCAGTGGCGGGATCTTCGCTCACTGCAACCTCTGCCTCCCGGGTTCAAGCAATTCTCCTGCCTCAGCCTCCCGAGTAGCTGGGACTACAGGAACGTACCACCACGCCCGGCTAATTCTTTGTATTTTTAGTAGAGACGGGGTTTCATCATGTTAGCCAGGATGGTCTCGATCTCCTGACCTTGCGATCTGCCCGCCTTGGCCTCCCAAAGTGCTGGGATTACAGGCGTGAGCCACCATGCCCGGCCAATTGTCCATTTTTATGCTTAGGTTTCACAAAGGATGGACGACCCTGTGGAAAGGTGATTGGACAAAGAGGGTATGATCTAATACTAATAGACTGAGTGGGGACACCCAGCAAGGCCTGCCTTTCTAGATTCTTCTTGGCTTCTCTGTGCACCATTTCCTCCTTCTGGGAATGGGACAGGACTCTCTCTGGAATGGCACAGGACTCTCTCTGGAATGGCAGTGGAGGTCTTATGACTGACAGTCAAACAAGGTAGATCAGATCATTTCTGAATGTCCAGTTTTTACACAGAAAGGTGGAAGGGAAATTAGAGTAATACTTTTAGGTTTCATTCCTAGCTTTGGGGAAAAGAGGTTCTGGTTTGTATGACTCCACTTGGGAAAGAGGGAATCCCAATTTCTATGACTAGTCTTGGGGGACAATAGGACTGAGAGACAGGAGGACAGGAGAAGGTCGAAGAAAAATGTTTGCTTCTGAGGATACTTCTTTTTTATTTTTTTTTGAGACAGAGTCTGGTTCAGTCGGCCAGGCTGGTGTGCAGTGGCGCAATCTCGGCTCACTGCAACCTCCGTCTCCCAGGCTCAGGCAATTCTCCTGCCTCAGTCTCCCGAGTAGCTGGGATTACAGGTGTGTGCCACTATGCCCAGCTAATTTTTATATTTTTAGGATTTCTCCATGTTGGCCAGGCTGGTCTTGAATTCCTGAGCTCATGTGATCCACCTGCCTCGGCCTCCCAAAGTGCTGGGATTACAGGCGTGAGCCACCTTGCCTGGCCCTGAGGATGCTTCTGAAGCCACTTCTGAGGTCTTCATTTTGGGGTGTTGTTTTCTGAGCCCCAACAGTAGCTATTATAATTTACTGAATATTTTGGTTTGAGGCACTTAGCATTGATAGTATCACAAGAGACAGCAAAGGGTAGTGGTTAAATGCATAAATGCTAGAGTTTGCCTTGGTTCAAAGCCCAGCTCTGTGAATTTAAGCAAGTTCGTTAAGCCCTTTGTGTCTCAGTACTTTCATTGATAAAATGAAGGTAATAATATAGGCATAATAATAGTATCTTCTCCAGGTGATCATTAGGAGGATTAAAGGAGCTAATATATGTATATAATAAACACTCAGAAGAACGCCTGGTATTACAGGGTAAGAACTTGATAACAGCTAACTGCCATTATTATTATTATTACTATTATTATTATATGGATTCTCAACTTTCACAGAGCACAGTAGTGTTCACTGAAGGTTGAAATGAGACTAAGCTTCATTTACTCTTGCTTTGAAGAATCTGAGGGAGCTGTGGGATCTTACAGGCCCCAATTCAGTTAATCAGCAAGTATTTGTAGACCGTGTACAATGTGTCCAGAACTGGTTGTTGTTGTAAATACCCAGTAGCGCTGTGTTGGCGAGTTCTTGGGTGATGAGAGTTCAGACACTGCTGCCCATGCAGAGGTCAGTCTAGTCTTCTGTGGTTTGTCTAGGCAAGGCATCGCCAATGCTACAAATATTATGGTGTCTCAAAAACATCACCAGCCTCCACACCAAGAACCCAAGAAGGAAGACTTCTGTCTCAGACCTTTGAAGATACCCCTAGTGTGATTCCAAGTGGAATCAAGGCTCAGGCTAAGGAGGCAGAATATAAGGAGGACTTGTGGCATTTCCCAGGCCTCCCTGTACTGCCCTGGGCCTTCTCTTGTCACTTGCTTCTTATAAATGGGGGAGCAATCCCGTGTGGGGTCTTTAAAGATCACCCCACATGGCCATGGGAATTATACTCGGAGAGCATATTAAGTAGATGGATGGAGGCTAGCAAAGGTCGTGAAGAGCACCCTGCCACGTGGGGCCACATTGGAGGAGTGCCAAGGGAGCTGACTCAACCAAGGTAGTGCAGAGTTGAGACAGAGAGAGAGAGAAAGAGATGAGAGAGAGAGGACTCAGACAAGCGCCTTTATTGGACTTCAGAGGGGAATCCACAAGCAAAAGGTGTGAGGGGATTGCACTGGTGGTGTTGATGTCACTAGGTCCCAGTCAGGGGAGCACAAAGTGGGGAACCTGTGGCCCGGACCAGCCTTAGCACACTGGTGCACCTGGTCACCTGGGCAAGGTGCTCACAGCCCATTTGCAGGGATGTTGAGGCATCAGAAAATTCTAAAGTTTGAATAATTGACAATATAATATCTCACCATTGCCAGCCTTCTGTGTTGCAGAGATGCCAAGAGGGAGACAGGAGACTGAAGGGGTAATGATCATGGTGCCCTCACCCTCTTGAGTCCCCCTAACTCAAAGTCATTCAGTGCCCTCGTCTCCATCTCATCCCAGGGAAGCCTCATCAGTGGCAGGTAAAGCAGTCACGAGGCAGAGGAGGCCATGAAGGGCCCTTCCTCCTTCAGCAGTCTTGCTCTTGAGCCTGGCTGAGGCTGAGAAATAAGTGTGTGTGAGTCATGATACCATCTTCAGGTTGGCCTGTAACTCTGGCTCTGTGAAGAAGTGAAGTCCAAAGGCAAGAACGTTTGTTCCTGGTCTCTGTGGGGTCATGTTGGCAACCTTGCCCCGGGGGGGCCTTCCTTCCTCTGGGAACAGCATCCACTTTGGTGAGGATCTGCAACCCGGCTCTGTCTCCTCCTCTTCAGAAGGTGGACAGGAAGAGGAGAAGGGATTCTTCTTGCTGCCCTTGTGAAAACTCAACCTCCGGGCTCACCAGGGATAGAGACCTGTAGATTCCCATTCTCTTCAGGAGTTAGGGAAAATGAGGGAATGGATTTAGGATTTCACTTTCTCCAGAGGAAAAAAAGGAAGGCCTTCTCAGAAACAGCATCCTTCTCGCTCTTTCTCGCCTTCAGTTGCTTTCAATTTAAGTCAATTAGACAGAAAATGAGCTCGCAGAACCTACAGCTGAACACACCTGGGGTTCCTATTTATCTATTTATTTATTTGCCTTCCCCCCCCCCCCTTCTCCCCCCCAGCACCTTGTTCTTGAAACTTGTCTGGTTCAGCATTTCACTGGCTTGGTTAAGTATCTTGTAAGGAAATCATTTATAATAAAGCTGGTATGCTTGGGTTTATCATTTCTAAGTGCGGGTCAGGATTTAGTTCGCTATGTTAAACTCTCCATGCTGCATGTGATTTGTCAAGCTTTGTCAGGAACAAAAAGTTCCGGGATGTGCAAAGCAGGACTGCTTGGTTTCCATGGAGATACTTCTAGTTAGGCTATGGAAATCCTGAAAAGGCCAGAGGATGAGTGACAATACAAGGATTTAGCGGCTGATCTGAAGAGCCAGACTGAATTAATGAGATTTTTCACAGAGCGTTATTAGCAAGGCTAGCACCGTATGGCTCTTAGGCCCTCGTGTTCTCAGCTGCAGTCTTGGAAAACAGAAATGGAAAGATTTAATTGCTGTTTTTTAAACCCTTTAAGATTATTTTAACCTATAACATTTTAAGGTTGTAATAAAAAATGGGGCTCTTTTTTTCATCACTCAGTTACTGTTATTACTGTGTTTTTGGTGGCAGTTGCCCTCCATGTGCATGGAGATGGGAAATTCAATAGTACTTATTATATTGAGCAGTTAATTCCCACATACTGTGAACACATTACTCTTCAAAGTAGGTTATCTGGCATTCCATTTAGAGCTGAGGGAGAGATACCATGTTGCTGGCTTTATGTCTCCTAGGGCTATATTAATTATTTATTATAGACTGCTGATGTCAACCGTTAACTCAGGCGGGTCAGAGTTTGTACATATATCTAACCAATGTCTGGCTTTTTGGAGTTTGGATGTGGATTTCTGGAAACTAGCAATCTGTGTGTTTTGTGAGTTTAATTCCATGTGCTACCACTGCTGCCGTTAACACCAAAAGGAAAGGAGCTAAGGAGTCTTCTCGGCTATCTTCAGGTAGCAGTTGCCTCCAAAGTTTGGGAGACACACTGTCAGAGGCCTCCTTCTTCTCCCCCGCTCCCAGCCAGCCCACTTTTTTTTTGGTTTGGGCATGAGTCTCGCTTTGTCACTCAAGCAGAGCATGGAGGCACGATCTTGGCTCACTGTAACTTCCGCCTCCCGTGCTCAAGTGATTCTCCTGCCTCAGCCTCCCGAGTAGCTGGGACTACAGGTGCGCATCACCATGCCCGGCGAATTTTTGTAATGTTTTTTTTTTTTTGTAGAGAAGGGGTTTCACCATGTTGACCAGGCTGGTCTCGAACTCCTGGCCTCAAGAGATCCGCCCGCCTAGGCCTCCCAAAGTGCTGGCATTACAGGCGTGAGCCACTGCACCCAGCCTCTTCTCCCTTTCTTTGCAAGGATTAATACCAGAACTCCTAATTCCAGTTCTTTTTTTATTCCCCACAACCGTAGTGAACCCAGCTCTGAGCTTAGAAATTATGGGTGCGATTAGCTGGGTTGCCTTTTCATTTCCCACACGTTCCCTGCGCAAGCTCTCCATAAAATGTCACTATCTGCCACCTCCTGAAACGAGACGTGTGGTGTAGGGGAAGCAGCTCGCCAGGCGCTGCTCTTGCTTGCTGGTTTGCAGAAGGGCACATGCCCATATGTTTCTGGGAGATGTAAAACTATCGTGTTGCTGCTGAGCAATCCACAACAAAAGCACATGCTGCCTGCATTCCCCGGATTCCTGTACAGTAGACTAATCCATTTAATCTCACTGTTAGCTTCCCCGGGCGGGAATTTCACAGTCTCTTTTGATTTAGTGGTTTGTAAAATCTCTGATTAAGTGCCTCTGCCCTCCTGTTATTGTCTCTCTATTCCCTAAATGATTTTGTGGGGAAGAAACCAGTGGAGTTGAAACAAGGGTCAACACACCCTCATCCTTACCTACTTGGTTTTTCTTTATCATTCTTAATTTTTTTAGTTTTATGCACTTTTTTCCCCCTTGACTCTGCTGACATGTGACAGCATTTTGCTTCTTAAATTATAAAATATGCCCTCTACTTTGCCAATTCTTGCTGGGTCCTCCCAGCTGTGTTGATCCCAAGTTTATCTCTTGGCATCTAAGGATCCACTACTCTGTTTGTCTTTAGAAGGGTGGTGATGCGAGCAAAGGTGATGGAAACGACAGACCTGACCTTGAGACCTAGTTCTGTCATTTGCTAGCTGTGTGATTGTGGGCAAGTTGCTTCACCTCTCTGGTCCTAATTTCCTCATTAAAAGTGAACATTAAATGCTATAGCATATAGAAAGTTCCTAAGTGGGCCAGGTGTGGTGGCTTACGCCTGTAATTCCAGCGCTTTGTAAGGCCAAGGTGGGAGGATCACATGAGCCCAGGAGTTTGAGACCAGACTGTGCAACATAGGGAGACCTCATCTCTCCAAAAAATAAAAATAAATTAGCCAGGCATGGTGGTGTGTGCCTGTAGTCCTAGCTCCTCTGGAGGCTGAGGCAGGAGGATCGCTTGAGTCTGCTAGGTCAAGGCTGCAGTGAGCTATGATCATACCACTGCACTCTAGCCTGGGCAACAGAGCAAGATCCTGTCTCTAAAAAATAAATAAAATTAAATTTAAAAAAAGTGCCTACATGCCTGCATATAGTAGATACTCAACAAATTATGATAATAATAGCTATCATTCCTACAAGTGTATGTGTTGTGCACAGCAGTGATTTGACTTGGGGCATTTTACTAAGTCCTTTGATGTGTGTTTTCCTGATGTCTCTGCTTAGATTAAGCTTCTTGAAGTTAAGAGCCCAAGTTTTCTATTTATTTTGTAACTGTTCCCTGCATTTACTTTGTGCTATTTTCCTGCCTGATTCTCTGCCTCTTAAAAATGCCTATCATCATGATAGCAATGCCCAAACTAACTCCAGCTCTACAAATAAAGCTTACACCCTCTCATCAGAGTGTAGCAGGTACGAATTGCACTCTAGAATTTGGAAGTAGGAAACATGGCAGTTCATTATTTAAAAAAAAAAAAATGAAATTACATGTGGCTCCGAGCTCCCACTATGGAAGTGGGAAGGAAGGGAGGAAGGAAGGAAGAAAGGAAAGAAGGAAGGAAGGAAGGAAGGAAGGAAGGAAGGAAGGAAGGAAGGAAGGAAGGAAGGAAGGAAATACCTGGAGGTATTTTCAGTTGTTGGCAGTGACTTTTTTTTTTTGACAGTCTTACTCTGTCACCCAGGCTGGAGTGCAGTGGCGTGATCTCGGCTCACTGCAACCTCCACCTCCCAGGTTCAAGCAATTTTCCTGCCTCAGCCTCCCGAGTAGCTGGGACTACAGGTGTATGCCACCATGCCAAGGGTAATTTTTTGCATTTTTAGTAGAGACCAGGTTTCACTGTGTTAGCCAGGATGGTCTTGATCTCCTGACCTCGTGATCCACCCGCCTCGGCCTCCTAAAGTACTGGGATTACAGGGGCAGTGACTTTTTAATTTACCATATGTGTCACTTGCTCCCATACTATCTCTGTACTCGGATTATTGTCCTCTAGTGGGCTGTTTCCTTCCTTTTAGTCCCTCATACCTACCATGCTTGCACCAGTGTCTCAGACCAATTATGGCAGCCAGTCCATTAACTGGATCCCTCCAAAGGTATCCCAAGACTCCACTTCCTCATTCAGTACCTCTGCTCCAGCACTAGATTGAGAAGGAAAGAAAAATTAGTATTTATTGATCATTTCCTATATAACACATTTAAATGTGTTGCCTAGTTTAGAACCAGGCTGTAATCCCAGCTCTTCCATTCCAAGCTGCATGACCTCAGGTAAGACACTTACCCTCTGCAAGATTCACCTCACCTCACCTGTAGAAAGAAGATGCTCCAAAAAAAAAAAAAAAAAAAAAAAATCAATTAAAAAAAAGATTCTTTGGTACTATTAAGCTTTGGCCCTTATCTTTATCCGCTCCTAACAACCTAATTTTCTGACTCTGTAATTTTATTTTTTCCATTTTTTTCTTCTCTGCTAGACAAGAAATAAATGGAAAGCCAATCTTCAGATAAACTAATCAGTGCTAATGGATGTTAATGATTTAAGGGGTTTACCTCTCAAAGGGATTTGAATTTTAATAGGTAAATTCCATTTCTTAGTTCAAAAAATATCGAGTGTCCAGTGCCTGTCAGATTAACTTTAACCTAAAATTTCCCAAAATGTGCACCATGAAAAAGAGTTCCCCAGTCAACTAAATTTTTAAAATACAATGCACCAACTTCTGCTTCTGCCCAAGGTGAGATAAAAGGGCGTGAATTTATCCTCCTTTCCGAAACAACAATAGAAAAACATACAAAATATATGAAAAAATGATTTTCAAGACTTCTCAGCAGGAAACAAAGGGCAGTGATTCAGACAGAGCATGAAGGGGAGTCCTAGGAGTACTCCAGCTTACTGCCTTCAGAAAACTTCCAGGCTGCAGTGCAGGGAGGGGAAACCCAGGTAGAGCAGAGGAGATGGGGCTGAGGATGTAGGAGATCACCATGGCCAGAGGTCATGGGACGGCATACAAAGGGAAAACCCTGGATGTCTGCAAAGGTTCCCCCTGTGTGCACAACAGAGTACAGACCAACACATGCATGTGAGGAAGCTACCCAAGAATGGGGCAAGAAAAAAAATCTGGAAGAATGAGAGAATAGTGCCTGACACATACACAAAGCTGAGAATAGTGACTATTCCCACCAACCAGACTGGAAAACTCAATTCATGAGGCATTTGGGTAGAATACTTAGCAATGTTGTGCCTTAGTAATGGAGAATAATTGGCCTCAGATTAAGCAGTTATGGACCTGCCTAACAAATCATAAAAGTTACAGCTGAAAGAATCAAATCATTTCCAATACATCCCAGAACAAAGCTCAAGAATAGTTATACAAGAATATTTAAACAAAAATATTCAGAGCTCAACAAGGTAAAAATCCACAATGTTTGGCATCCAAATAAAGATATCAAGCATTCAAAGAACCGTGACCTATAGTGAGGAGAATAATCAGTGAATTGAAGGCAATCCAGAACCAGCACAGAGGTTAGTTAGAACTAGCAGACAAGAACAAACCAGTTGTTAGAACTTTATTCTATATGTTCAGATAGTGAAGTAGAGATATGGAAAATATTTTAAAAGATCCAAATGAAACTTCTGGAGAAAAACTTTACTGTCTGAGATTAAATAATAAATGGGATTGATGGCAGATTAGACATAGTAGAAGAAAAAATTAGTGAACTTGAAGATGTATAGTAAGAGAAAATATCCTAAATGAAGCACAGAAAAAATAGACTCAAACAAATGATAAAAGTATAAGTGAGCTGTGAAAAAACTTCATGTAGCTTAATGTGTGCATAATCAGGAAAATATTCAAAGGCATTCTGATTGAGAATTTTTCAAAATGGTTTTTCAAAACAGGATCAATACCAAACAAAAATACTAGAATAGCATGGTAAAACTGCAAAAATCAAAGACAAAGGTAAAATCTTAAAAGCAGCCAGAGAAAGACACATTATATTTATGAGAACAATAATAACATAGACAATAGAAATAGAAGCCAGACACACCTGTAATCTCAGCACGTTAGGTGGCTGAGGTGGATGGATCACTTGAGGCCAGGAGTTGGAGACCAACACGGCCAACATGGCAAAACTCCATCTCTACTAAAAATACAAAAATTAGCTGGGTGTGGTGGTGGGCCCCTGTATTCCCACCTACTCAGGAGGCTGAGGCAGGAGAATCACTTGAGCCTGGGAGGTGGAGGTTGCAGTGAGCCAAGAGACCATGCCACTGTACTCCAGCCTGGGTGACAGAGCGAGACTCTGTCTCAAAAAACAGACAAACAAACAAAACAACTCGTGTTATGTGACTAAAATAATGCCAAGATGGGAATTTTTTGTTTTAAATGCATATATGGAAAAAGAAGAAAAGTTGAGATTAAGCATCTATTTCAAGAAACTAGAGGAAAAAATTTAAAGAAAATTGAAGGAATGTAATAATAAAGTTAAGAGCAGAAATCAATGAAATGAAAAACAAAAATAGACAAAATCAACAGAACAAAAAGTTGTTTAAAAGATTGATAAACTTTTTTAAAAAAGATTGATAAAGTTGACAAACTCTAACAAGCCTGATCAAGAACAAAAAAATAAAACACACAAATTCTCAATATGAAGAATGAAAAATGGGAAGTCACTACAGTTTCAACAAATATTTAAAATAAGTTGTGGAGAAATTTAGAAGTAGAAAAGTTCTTTGAAAAATACAACTTACAAAATGAACACAAGGAGAGATAGAAAAACATAAGCAATCTTATTTCTCCTAAAGAAATTGAATTTAAAATGAAAAACCTCACTTCAAAGATAAATCCAGGTCCAGTTAAGTTCAACATGAAGTCATCCTTTTAAGAAAGAAATAACACCAATTAACCTGAAATATGGAGAAAACATTTTCTATCTTATTTCATGAGGCTAGCATAACCTTGACAAGGATATTACAAGAAAAAAAAAATACAACATAATCCCTGTCATAAATAGGCACAAAGATTCTAACCAAAAAAATAGTAAACTGAACATTAATGTATAAAAAGATAGTGCATAATGGCCAAATTGTCTTTATTCAAAGTGTGCGAGGTTGGCTTAACATTCCAAAATCAATTAGTGAAACTCTCCACATTAACAACAGATGAAGGCAAAAAATCATATCATCATCTCCCCAGATGCATTAAAATTATTTGATAAAATTCAACACTTATTCATGATGAAAACTCTCAGTAAATTTGGAATTAAAAGAACTTCTTTAAACTAACAAAGAGTATACACAAAACATCCATGGCAAGCATCCTACTTAACAGTAGTGTACTGAAATATTTTCACTTGATTTTGGGAAAAGATGAGGATTTCAGCTATCATTATTTCTATATGACATTTTACTGGAGGGCATACTGCAATAAAGAATAAAAAAATTAGAGTTATAAGAATTGGGAAAAAGTCTTTAAAAACTATTACTGTATAAAGAAAATATGCTTATGTATATAGAATCTCAAAAAGAATCTGCTGATAAACTATGATATTTAATAAGTGGATTTACCAAAGCCATTGGCTTCAAGGTCAGGGTGCAAAAAAAATTAATTGTATTCTTAGATTGGAACAAATAATTAGAAAACAAAATTTTAAGATGATGCCCTTTAACCTAGAAATTGTTTTTCAAGACCCCTACCTCTCTATGAAGCTTTACTAAGAGAAATTAAAGAAGACCTAAATAAATGGAGGGATATACTGTGTTCATAGATTGGAAGATTCAGTGTTGATAAAGGTGTCATTTTCTCCCCTAAATTGATCTGTGTAGTCAATGTAATCCCAATAAAAATTTCAGCAGGTTTTTTTTTTAGAAATTTACAATCTGATTACAAAATTTATATGGAAATGCTAAGGACAAAAAGTGTCCAAGACAATCTTAAAGAAAAACAAAGTTGAAATAAAGTACTGACCGGGCACGGAGGCTCATGCCTGTAATCCCAGCACTTTGGGAGGCCCAGGCAGGTGGATCACCAGAGGCCAGGAGTTCGAGACCAGCCTGGCCAACATGGTGAAACCCCATCTCTGCTAAAAATACAAAATTAGCCAGGCATGGTGGCAGACACCTGTAATCCCAGCTACTTAGAAGGCTGAGGCAGGAGAATAGCTTGAACCCAGGAGCTGAGTTTGCAGTGAGCTGAGATCACAGCACTGCACTCCAACCTGGGCAACAGAGTGAGACTCCGTCTCAAAAAAAAAAAAAAAAAGAGAGAGAGAAAAGAAATAAAATACTAGATATTAGGAAGTATCATAAAGCTACGTTAATTTAAAACAGTGCAATCTTGGTGGCTAGTAGACCGTTGGAACAGACTAAGAAGTCTGAACATACACATTTAAATCCCCTGATTTACAACAAAGCTGACACTGCAGTGCAGCAATTATTAGAAAGTTCTGACATTCTGGTAATGTCCTATATCTTTATCTGGGTAGGAAGTCCATGGGTGTGTTCACTTTATTGAAATTCATTCAATAAAGAAAAGTTCAAAAGCTAATTCAGGTATTTTGCTTACGGGACTAATTTTCATGCTTAGCAGAATGGCTAAAAAGGTTGATGTGACACAACTACTTACTCCACGTTCTTCTGCCTGTAAGATGATGTGAGTCTGAGACTGTAGCTGAGACATTTAAAGCTTACTGTTGTTTGTGGCTCTGTTTAAACTGACTTGCTCCATCTTCCTCAGTCTCACACTAGGCAAGTTTCTGCATTAATTTGGCTCCCTAGCATTCTGTAGCCTGGCTTCATGCTTGAGGCTGCCAACCCACACTAAATAAAGGACAGCATGAAGACCAGCTTAGAATTGTCTCTTCCTTCCTATATGAATCTTTAGTGGGAAAGAGCTACCCTTCTCAACACAGATCTTTCTGTTGAGAGTAAAAGGGTAGCCCCCAAGCCTGGGTTACAGCTTTTAGTGGGAACTGGCTCCAAATTATAATAAAAGAACTAACCTTTGTTGTGTGCATCCTATGCTCCAGGAATTATTCCAAGTACTTTATATATATATTAACTTATTTAATAACATAACAATTCTGTGAGCTAGGGAGTATTATTTGCCCTATGTTTCAGGTTAGGGACTAGAGGCATAGAGCAGCGAGGAATCTGTCAAAGATCGCACAGCTAGAAGCAGTGAAGCCGAGCAGTAGGGTTCTTTCTAGAGCTCTTTTTTACAGAACCAACAGGTTTGTATGCCCGCTGCCCAGTAACGGACCCATTACACTGAGACAGTAGGGTTTGCAGCAGAGAAAGAGTTTAATGATTGCAGGGCATTGTGTGAGGAGATGGGAGGAGACCTCCAAATCTGTCTTCCTGAGGAGTTCTGGGCTGGGGCTTTTAAGGGGACTGTGGAAGGTGAAGGGTTTGAAAACTGAGGTTGTTGGTTGGTTGGGGCAGGGAGGAAGAAATCATGGAGCTGTGGAAGCTGCATCCATTGGTGAGTTAGCTCCTTGTGGGCCCTTCAGACCAGTTGAGTCAGTTGTTACATCAGTTTGCAGGACCTGAAGGAATATCTCAAAGGGAAAACTTAACGTTTCATGATGTTCAAGTTGTTATCTAAAGAGCTGTTCAGGAGAACTGTCGTCTAAGGTCTATATGATTCTAGGACCATAGGTACCAAACAGCTTTGAGGAAGCAGGGCAGAGAGTAAGCTCACTTAATGATTAATGTGGAACGTGCTGCAAGCTTAGTTTATTTTTGTTTCTCCCTCCCTTCTTCTCTAACTAATTTTATAAAGTTTATAGGGGCAGTTTCACCTTGCTCTTTCCAAACACACCATATAATACACAAGCAATAAATGTCATGCTACACACGGTCTTAGTTTCTTTAGTTTCAGAAGATCCAGAAGAAGACTTGCTGCCTGAAGATTCTTCTCTACAGAACCCAGCTCTTTGTGAGAGGCTGGCTGTGCAGCAGAAGGAAGCCCATGAGATTCAGAACCTAGGCTCGGCCAGGAGTCTTGCCAGGAAGAGGCAAGAGAGGAGAGGCCTCTTCCTGGTGGTGGCTGCTGAGTAGCAGAATTGTAGATTTTGTTTGATTGTAAAAAATAAAAAGTATTACAGAGAAATGCAATCATCAGCAAATTAAGGTTGGAGCAACAATGACAAACATTTTAAACACACACACACACACACACACACACACACACACACACACACACACACACACAGCTTTTCTTAGTGCCTGATGTTCTTCCTGCTTTCACCCTGTTCCTTGCTCCAGAACCGCCATTTTCTGAGCTCTCAGCAGTAAACTTAATAAAGATTGATATCAATGACAAATTCTGTCAACTTCCATGCTGCAAAACTTAGTCACTGTGCAAAATGGACCAAGGAAAATAAATAACCCGAGGAATGATGGAGTGTGTAAATATTGATGTGGATGCTGGGCACAGGGAAGTTGGATGAAGCAAAACAGAGCTTAGTGATGGCTCGTTCCCGCACCCTGGTTGAATGCAGAAAGGTCTTTTCATGGTGATTTTAATCCCCTGGCATTATTTTCTGGGGGGGAGTGTATGTTGTAGGTGAAACTGTAAATTCTTAGATTCAAAAAAACCATTCTAGAAAGGGCATATTTTTTAATATGCCCTTCAATAAAAACTTACTGTTACAAAAATAGTGCTTTATATAGAAAAATATAAAAATGCATATAGGAAAAATAGAATAATAAAGAATACCCATAATTCTGCCACTCAAAATACTATACTAGTGGTGAGCATTTTCCAGACCTTTTTCCATGCCTACGTACACATTTCCTCATTCCTAAGATGCAAATTTTCCAAAGTTTGGTATTTTGGGAATCAGTTTAAATATGTGAGTGCATACAATATGACAGTATTTCCTTTCATCTGAAAAAACTGTTATTAAGTTAATAGTGTTTCATACAAATAATGACATTTTAAAATTAAGGAAATATGTGGGTGTTACATATTTGTAAAAATATTATATTGTACATACAATGTTTTCCATTTTTACTGTGATAAAGTGTACATAAATGGCAATATACATAATAGTAAACATAAATTTTGCCATTTGTTTTTTTTTTTTGTTTTTTTTTTTTGAGACAGGATCTTGCTGTCATCCAGTTTGGAGTGCAGTGGCATGATCTCAGCTCACTGCAGCTTTGACCTCCCAGGCTCAAACGATTCATCCACCTCAGCCTCCCGAGTAGCTGGGACTACAGGCATATGCCCCCACACCAGACTAGTTTTTGTATTTTTGGTAGAGATGGGGTTTCGCCATGTTGCCCAGGCTGGTCTCAAACTCCTGGACTCAAGCAATCCGCCTGCCTTGGCTTCCCAGAGTGCTGGGATTACAGGCATGAGCCACCATGCCCCGCCCATTTTAACAATTTTTAAGTGTACAATTCAGTGGCATTAAGTACCTTCACAATGTCATGTAACCATCACCACTGTCTATTTCTAGAAGTTTTTCATCATCCCAAACAGAAACTCTCTGCCCATTAAACAACAAGTTCCCATTCTTCTCTCCCTCCAACTCTTGGTAACTTCTATTCTACTTTTGTCTCTATGAATTGAATAGTTGCTCATATAAGTGGAATTATACAATATGTGTCTTTTTGTGTCTAGCTTATTTCACTCAGCATAATGTTTTCAAGGTTAATCCATGTTGTAACAT
Source organism: Homo sapiens (assembly GCF_000001405.40). Classification (NCBI taxonomy): domain Eukaryota; kingdom Metazoa; phylum Chordata; class Mammalia; order Primates; family Hominidae; genus Homo; species Homo sapiens. The sequence continues at coordinate 14,490,522 of NC_000006.12, read as the reverse complement.
GTAGCAGAATTCCATTCCTTTTTTTAAGCTAATGTGTCACATTTTGTTTATTCAATCATTTGTTGATGGACACTTGAGTTGTTTACACCTTTCAGCTGTTCTGAATACTGCTGCTATAAATACTGGTGTATAAGTATCACTTTGAGGCCCTGCTTTCAGTTCTTTTGCGTATATACCTAGAAGCGGAATTGCTGGATCCAGTGGTGATTGTATGTTTAACTTTTTGAGGAACTGCCATACTTTTTCCACGTGGCTGCCTTATTTTACATTCTCATCAGCAATGCACAAGGGTTCCAATCTCTCTGCAGTCTCAACAGTGCTTGTTATTTTCCCTGTTTAATAGTAGCCATTCTACTGAATGTGAAGTGTCTGTGCCTACTATATGGAACCTGCTTCTCCCGGTTAATGACATATCCTGAATATCTTTCCATGTCAGGTAATAGTCTTCTACAATCCATATGAATTGCCATTTTAAAGGCGGTGTATTATTTAGCTGTATGTACGAACATGCATACTTTCCAAAATAATCCTCTATTGTTAAATATTTAGATTGCTCCCAGTTTTTTTCCTATTGAAAATGATGATGAAATAAATACTTTATGGCTATTTTTTGCACACATTCTTAGTTACTTCAATGGGAATACATTTACAGATATGATACTGTTGAATCAGACAGGAATGCGTGAGGCTTTTAATTCATAATTCTAAATTGCCTCCACTTAGTCTGAAATGGAAAAAGTCAAGAGTCCTTCACTGAAGAACCACCCACACCACCACTGCCAACCCCAAAGATTTAACTGGAAAATATTTACACTTATGAGAAAAGGAGAAACTGGTGTGAGAATTTGGTCAATAATATAAAAATTGTATCAGTCAGCTCTTTTGCCAGATGGCTTGACAGTTCTGGAAAGATGAAATTCTTTCTAATTTTCATCTTGGATCTGGGCGAAAACTTTTTTTCAGAGAAGTATGATTACTTTCTTTCTAACCTGATTTCTGTATATCTCATCTGCCATTCTTGCCCGGGATGTGATAGGAAAATGAAAAGAAAATAGAGTAACAGCAGACATTTGAGCCAAAGAGCTCCTCTAGCAGTTACTTGTACTTGAAATTCTAGAGAATTTCTATGCAATGTCTATAGAAAAAAATAAAAAGAAATTTTCAATTGGTATGTCTAAATTAGTGCACATAACGTGCCAAATCTCTGCAGTAGAAATTCTCTGGAGAGTTTTCTTCTCTCTGAGAAACTGGGTGATTTTACCAAAAGCATCCTATTTCATCCCTCATTGCTTGTTAGGGCAGATGCTGCAGCACTGACCTGGCAGCAGGTATGTGAACAGCCATCCTAGGTAATTAGAATGACCTGCTCTAGCTAAGTCACCTCAGTAACAACCATGGCCTAATCATGTGGCCCCCAAATCAGTGCCTCTCAGACTTAGTTGTACATCAGAATCACTGAGGGCTGTGAAAACACAGATTGCTGGGCCCCACACCAAGAGGTTCTGATGCAGTAGGAGTGGGGAGGGCCTGAGAACCTGCATTTCTAACAACTTTCAAGGTGCTGCTGGTTAAGGGGCTGCACTATGAGAACCACTGCCTTCCTTGAGAACACCTTGCACCCTCCTCCCTCCGAATAGCTTTGGATGATTATTTAGGTGAGGGATTAAGAGAAAGGAAGCTAAAAGATAAACACAACAACTACATAAATTGTGATAATCATGATAAAAAGCTCGCCATACTAGTGTCACAGGATCATTTGGGGTGTCACAGAGGCCGGAAACCTCTGTGGCTGGTGGCACCTGTGCCTGAGTTTTGCTCAGGCCCACTGGGTTTGTTCTGCCCACTCATCCTGGCAGACTGCGTTCGGCTCATGATACTGGCCTGGACCCCATGCCTGCCAAGGGAGACTGCGTGGAGTGGCAAGGGGTGTGTGAGCAAGTGTGGGGTCTGGCCACTGTGCAGTCAGACATGCCAGCTACTGCAGCAGGGCAGGCAGCTCCAGGTGCCAGCATGGGTGGCGGCTCTCTGTGAAGCTGCAGCTGGACCAGGTGCATCACAAGCAGCTTCCACAGTTGGCAGCTGGGAATACAGTGGCACCCAGAAGCTTGGAGATGCCAGGAACTGTGGGGCCCCAAAGAGGAAGTCTAGCCCTGGCTTAGGCAGCTCCCAGGTCTGGGGTCCCTGAAGGGCCCTAGTTCTTCTTTTTTTCTCTTTGCCCACAATGTGACAAGCAAGGTGCATGTCTCAGCCCTGTTGGTGTTGCAGCTTTTTTAGCCTCACTATTTGGCGGGTTCCAAGTTCTTGTCCTGAGACCAGGAAGAATAAGGTATGCAGACAATTGGAGGGTGAGCGAGATGAAGAGGAGCTTTATTGAGTGATAGAACAGCTCAGAGGAAACCCGCACTGGGTAGCTCCTTTCCACAGCCAGGGTGTCCCAGTGAGTGTTCAGCTCCTAGCAGAGAGGGTAGCTCCTCTCTGCTAGGCAAGTCATCCTGACAAATGTTTAGCTATCAGCAGAGAGGGTAGCTCCTCCCTGTAGCTGGTCTTCCTGTTGTCTGCAGCTCTCAGTGGAGGAGAAGAATGGGTGGCTCCTCCCTGAAGGCAGGCCATCCCAATGTTGTCTCTCTGTGCTCTCTGCAGCTAGTCATCCTGACATCTGCAGCTCTCAGCAGAGAGGAGGCCCTGGAGTGGGTAGCTCCTCTCTGCAGCTGGTCGTCCCGATGTCTGCTCAGCTCCGGCTGAGCCCAGGGCTTTATGGGCCTCAGAGGGGAGGAATTACATGCCAATTGGTCCAGAGGTGGCCATAGGTGGGCCCAGAAAAGGCACCACAAGTTCCTCCTCTGGTCTGCTGGATGGGCAGGCCAGCCCCCAGCCTTCAGGCTCTCCCAGGCCTGAAGGTGGGGCCTCATCAGGTACCCACCCTCTTATGCCCAGGATCCTGTCTGCCTCCTGCTGCCCTCCATGGTGCCCAGGCTGCTTGTGCCAAGGGGCACCTGCAGGCCAGTGTCAGGCTGTCTTCAGCCCCACCTTGGCCTTTCTCTTGTGCTTGCTGGTGCCAAAAGTCCAAAGGGGGCCAAGGCAGCAGGGGGCTGGTGTGTCAGTGCTGCCCTGAGCATGTGCACTCCTGGCGGGCTGCGACAACACCTTGGCTTGGCTCCACATTGCTCCAAAATCGGAGCAGGTGCTGACAGAGAACCCAGGAAGCAGAAGTAGGCACTCCCAAGCCTGCAAGGGCAGGAGGGGTGGTCTTCTCAGGCCCCCAAGGGCACGGGGAGGCTCGGGTCCACAGCCCTGACTTGGACGGCTGCAGTTGCACTCAGGAGGGTGGGGCTCCTGTCTGCTCTGTGGAGCAAGAGGCCCAGGTCTACAGCTGCAACTTGGATGGCTGTAGCTGCACCCAGGAGGGCAGGCTTCCCCCTGCTCCTGGGCCTTGAGAGCACAGGGATGCCCGGGTTGTGGCTTGGGTGGCTGCAGTGGCACCTAGGGAGCTCCCATCCCAACTTGGAAGGCTCCCACTAGCTCCACAGAACACGTAGCCCCAGCAGCACCTCCCTGCTGCGGTCAGTGTGATTTCAGTGGCCGCTCCAGACGGCCCGCTGCTGCCATCACAAGGGCTACAACTATGTTTCATTCATGAGATTTATATTTTTTTTCCTAAGGAATTGCTGGAGTTCTCTTTCTTAGAATTGGTATCAATTGACAACAAGCTTCTCTGGACAGGGATAGAGGTGGCAACCTAGATCACATAGCAACTCTGACCATTGAAATTTTCACTGTGCTTACTTCAGTGGCTTCAGTGACTCATATTTATATGATATGCGTAAAACAGCACTGGTAGATGGCTTAAGATATTTTCAAATCTGTATAGTGTAAGTCCCCAAATAAAATATATAGTCTTTGAGGCAAGGAGCCTATTTTCTATCACTTCAGGGCACTTGGCATCTAGTCAGCATTCAGTGTATGTTATGAATCAACTCAAGATAAGGGAGTCCATCTACAAGGCTCACTGGAAGTATTAAAATATGTGACAAGGAAATACTTAGGAAGGTATAGGAAGTGTGGTAAAACTGTGCCTCACAGGGTTAAACGGACCAAAGAACAGGGCTAAAAGGGATTTTGGTGATTAACAAAATGTATGAGCTTCTTTATAGGATGTCCACTTACTAAACCACAGGGCCAGTTAAAACCAGCCAGAACCAATATGGCTGGCTGGAGCTTGTGCAAAGGAGATCAGCTTGCTGGCTGCGTGACCTTTGATATCACATCCCAAATTTCCACCACATGTTTTATACCAATCCCCAACCCCGGAATTTACAGATGTGACCTATGAAGGATAACTGTATGCCCAAGAGAATTTCCTTTTTTTAATTTTTTTTATTTTTATTTATTTTTTATTATTATACTTTAAGTTTTAGGGTACATGTGCACATTGTGCAGGTTAGTTACATATGTATATATGTGCCATGCTAGTGCGCTGCACCCATTAACTCGTCATCTAGCATTAGGTATATCTCCCAGTGCTATCCCTCCCCCCTCCCCCCACCCCACAACAGTCCCCAGAGTGTGATGTTCCCCTTCCTGTGTCCATGTGTTGTCATTGTTCAATTCCCACCTATGAGTGAGAATATGCAGTGTTTGGTTTTTTGTTCTTGCGATAGTTTACTGAGAATGATGATTTCCAATTTCATCCATGTCCCTACAAAGGACATGAACTCATCATTTTTTTATGGCTGCATAGTATTCCATGGTGTATATGTGCCACGTTTTCTTAATCCAGTCTATCATTGTTGGACATTTGGGTTGGTTCCAAGTCTTTGCTATTATGAATAGTGCCGCAATAAACATATGTGCGCATGTGTCTTTATAGCAGCATGATTTATAGTCCTTTGGGTATATACCCAGTAATGGGATGGCTGGGTCAAATGGTATTTCTAGTTCTAGATCCCTGAGGAATCGCCACACTGACTTCCACAATGATTGAACTAGTTTACAGTCCCACCAACAGTGTAAAAGTGTTCCTATTTCTCCACATCCTCTCCAGCACCTGTTGTTTCCTGACTTTTTAATGATTGCCATTCTAACTGGTGTGAGATGATATCTCATTGTGGTTTTGATTTGCATTTCTCTGATGGCCAGTGATGGTGAGCATTTTTTCATGTGTTTTTTGGCTGCATAAATGTCTTCTTTTGAGAAGTGTCTGTTCATGTCCTTTGCCCACTTTTTGATGGGGTTGTTTGTTTTTTTCTTGTAAATTTGTTTGAGTTCATTGTAGATTCTGGATATTAGCCCTTTGTCAGATTAGTAGGTTGTGAAAATTTTCTCCCATTTTGTGGGTTGCCTGTTCACTCTGATGGTAGTTTCTTTTGCTGTGCAGAGGCTCTTTAGTTTAATTAGATCCCATTTGTCAATTTTGGCTTTTGTTACCATTGCTTTTGGTGTTTTAGACATGAAGTCCTTGCCCATGCCTATGTCCCGAATGGTAATGCCTAGGTTTTCTTCTAGGGTTTTTATGGTTTTAGGTCTAACGTTTAAGTCTTTAATCCATCTTGAATTGATTTTTGTATAAAGTGTAAGGAAGGGATCCAGTTTCAGCTTTCTACATATGGCTAGCCAGTTTTCCCAGCACCATTTGTTAAATAGGGAGTCCTTTCCCCATTTCTTGTTTTTGTCAGGTTTGTCAAAGATCAGATAGTTGTAGATATGTGGCGTTATTTCTGAGGGCTCTGTTCTGTTCCATTGATCTATATCTCTGTTTTGGTACCTGTACCATGCTGTTTTGGTTACTGTAGCCTTGTAGTATAGTTTGAAGTCAGGTAGCATGATGCCTCCAGCTTTGTTCTTTTGGCTTAGGATTGACTTGGCAATGCGGGCTCTTTTTTGGTTCCATATGAACTTTAAAGTAGTTTTTTCCAATTCTGTGAAGAAAGTCATTGGTAGCTTGATGGGGATGGCATTGAATCTATAAATTACCTTGGGCAGTATGGCCATTTTCACGATATTGATTCTTCCTACCCATGAGCATGGAATGTTCTTGCATTTGTTTGTATCCTCTTTTATTTCATTGAGCAGTGGTTTGTACTTCTCCTTGAAGAGGTCCTTCACATCCCTTGTAAGTTGGATTCCTAGGTATTTTATTCTCTTTGAAGCAATTGTGAATGGGAGTTCACTCATGATTTGGCTCTCTGTTTGTCTGTTATTGGTGTATAAGAATGCTTGTGATTTTTGTACATTGATTTTGTATCCTGAGACTTTGCTGAAGTTGCTTATCAGCTTAAGGAGATTTTGGGCTGAGACAATGGGGTTTTCTAGATATACAATCATGTCGTCTGCAAACAGGGACAATTTGACTTCCTCTTTTCCTAATAGAATACCCTTTATTTCCTTCTCCTGCCTAATTGCCCCGGCCAGAACTTCCAACACTGTGTTGAACAGGGGTGGTGAGAGAGGGCATCCCTGTCTTGTGCCAGTTTTCAAAGGGAATGCTTCCAGTTTTTGCCCATTCAGTATGATATTGGCTGTGGGTTTGTCATATATAGCTCTTATTATTTTGAGATACGTTCCATCAATACCTAATTTATTGAGAGTTTTTAGCATGAAGGGTTGTTGAATTTTGTCAAAGGCCTTTTCTGCATCTATTGAGATAATCATGTGGTTTTTGTCTTTGGTTCTGTTTGTATGCTGGATTACATTTATTGATTTGCATATGTTGAACCAGCCTTGCATCCCTGGGATGAAGCCCACTTGATCATGGTAGATAAGCTTTTTGATGTGCTGCTGGATTTGGTTTGCCAGTATTTTATTGAGGATTTTTGCATCAATGTTCATCAAGGATATTGGTCTAAAATTCTCTTTTTTGGTTGTGTCTCTGCCTGGCTTTGGTATCAGGATGATGCTGGCCTCATAAAATGAGTTAGGGAGGATTCCCTCTTTTTCTACTGATTAGAATAGTTTCAGAAGGAATGGTACCAGTTCCTCCTTGTACCTCTGGTAGAATTCGGCTGTGAATCCATCTGGTCCTGGACTCTTTTTGGTTGGTAAGCTATTGATTATTGCCACAATTTCAGCTCCTGTTATTGGTTTATTCAGAGATTCAACTTCTTCCTGGTTTAGTCTTGGAAGAGTGTATGTGTCGAGGAATTTATCCATTTCTTCTAGATTTTCTAGTTTCTTTGCGTAGAGGTGTTTGTAGTAATCTCTGATGGTAGTTTGTATTTCTGTGGGATCAGTGGTGATATCCCCTTTATCATTTTTTATTGCATCTATTTGATTCTGCTCTCTTTTTTTCTTTATTAGTCTTGCTAGCGGTCTATCAATTTTGTTGATCCTTTCAAAGAACCAGCTCCTGGATTCATTAATTTTTTGAAGGGTTTTTTGTGTCTCTATTTCCTTCAGTTCTGCTCTGATTTTAGTTATTTCTTGCCTTCTGGTAGCTTTTGAATGTGTTTGCTCTTGCTTTTCTAGTTCTTTTAGTTGTGATGTTAGGGTGTCAATTTTGGATCTTTCCTGCTTTCTCTTGTGGGCATTTAGTGCTATAAATTTCCCCCTACACACTGCTTTGAATGCGTCCCAGAGATTCTGGTATGTTGTGTCTTTGTTCTCGTTGGTTTCAAAGAACATCTTTATTTCTGCCTTCATTTTGTTATGTACCCAGTAGTCATTCAGGAGCAGGTTGTTCAGTTCCCATGTAGTTGAGCAGTTTTGAGTGAGTTTCTTAATCCTGAGTTCTAGTTTGATTGCACTGTGGTCTGAGAAATAGTTTGTCATAATTTCTGTTCTTTTACATTTGCTGAGGAGAGCTTTACTTCCGACTATGTGGTCAATTTTGGAATAGGTGTGGTGTGGTGCTGAAAAAAATGTATATTCTGTTGATTTGGGGTGGAGAGTTCTGTAGATGTCTATTAGGTCCGCTTGGTGCAGAGCTGAGTTCAATTCCTGGGTATCCTTGTTAACTTTCTGTCTCGTTGATCTGTCTAATGTTGACAGTGGGGTGTTAAAGTCTCCCATTATTAATGTGTGGGAGTCTAAGTCTCTTTGTAGGTCACTCAGGACTTGCTTTATGAATCTGGGTGCTCCTGTATTGGGTGCATATATATTTAGGATAGTTAGCTCTTCTTGTTGAATTGATCCCTTTACCATTATGTAATGGCCTTCTTTGTCTCTTTTGATCTTTGTTGGTTTAAAGTCTGTTTTATCAGAGACTAGGATTGCAACCCCTGCCTTTTTTTGTTTTCCATTTGCTTGGTAGATCTTCCTCCATCCTTTTATTTTGAGCCTATGTGTGTCTCTGCATGTGAGATGGGTTTCCTGAATATAGCACACTGATGGATCTTGACTCTTTATCCAATTTGCCAGTCTGTGTCTTTTAATTGGAGTGTTTAGTCCATTTACATTTAAAGTTAATATTGTTATGTGTGAATTTGATCCTGTCATTATGATGTTAGCTGGTTATTTTGCTCATTAGTTGATGCAGTTTCTTCCTAGTCTTGATGGTCTTTACATTTTGGCATGATTTTGCAGCGGCTGGTACTGGTTGTTCCTTTCCATGTTTAGTGCTTCCTTCAGGAGCTCTTTTAGGGCAGGCCTGGTGGTGACAAAATCTCTCAGCATTTGCTTGTCTGTAAAGTATTTTATTTCTCCTTCACTTATGAAGCTTAGCTTAGCTGGATATGAAATTCTGGGTTGAAAATTATTTTCTTTAAGAATGTTGAATATTGGCCCCCACTCTCTTCTGGCTTGTAGAGTTTCTGCTGAGAGATCCGCTGTTAGTCTGATGGGCTTCCCTTTGTGGGTAACCCGACCTTTCTCTCTGGCTGCCCTTAACATTTTTTCCTTCATTTCAACTTTGGTGAATCTGACAATTATGTGTCTTGGAGTTGCTCTTCTCGAGGACTTCTCGAGGAGTATCTTTGTGGCGTTCTCTGTATTTCCTGAATCTGAATGTTGGCCTGCCTTGCTAGATTGGGGAAGTTCTCCTGGATAATATCCTGCAGAGTGTTTTCCAACTTGGTTCCATTATCCCCATCACTTTCAGGTACACCAATCAGACGTAGATTTGGTCTTTTCACATAGTCCCATATTTCTTGGAGGCTTTGTTCGTTTCTTTTTATTCTTTTTTCTCTAAACTTCCCTTCTCGCTTCATTTCATTCATTTCATCTTCCATCGCTGACACCCTTTCTTCCAGTTGATCACATCAGCTCCTGAGGCTTCTGCATTCTTCACGTAGTTCTCGAGCCTTGGCCTTCAGCTCCATCAGCTCCTTTAAGCACTTCTCTGTATTGGTTATTCTAGTTATACATTCGTCTAAATTTTTTTCAAAGTTTTTAACTTCCTTGCCTTTGGTTTGAATTTCCTCCTGTAGCTCGTAGTTTGATCGTCTGAAACCTTCTTCTCTCAATTCGTCAAAGTCATTCTCCATCCAGCTTTGTTCCATTGCTGGTGAGGAACTGCGTTCCTTTGGAGGAGGAGAGGTGCTCTGCTTTTTAGAGTTTCCAGTTTTTCTGCTCTGTTTTTCCCCCATCTTTGTGGTTTTATCTACTTTTGGTCTTTGATGTTGGTGATGTACAGATGGGTTTTTGGTGTGGATGTCCTTTCTGTTTGTTAGTTTTCCTTATAACAGACAGGACCCTCAGCTGCAGGTCTGTTGGAGTTTGCTAGAGGTCCACTCCAGACCCTGTTTGCCTGGGTATCAGCAGCGGTGTTTGCAGAACAGCGGTTTTTTTGTGAACCGCAAATGCTGCTGTCTGATCGTTATTCTGGAAGTTTTGTCTCAGAGGAGTACCCGGCTGTGTGAAGTGTCAGTCTGCCCCTCCTGGGGGGTGCCTCCCAGTTAGGCTGCTCAGAGGTCAGGGGTCAGGGACCCACTTGAGGAGGCAGTCTGCCCATTCTCAGATCTCCAGCTGCATGCTGGGAGAACCACTGCTCTCTTCAAAGCTGTCAGACAGGGACATTTAAGTCTGCAGAGGTTACTGCTCTCTTTTTGTCTGTGCCCTGCCCCCAGAGGTGGAGCCTACAGAGGCAGGCAGGCCTCCTTGAGCTGTGGTGGGCTCCACCCAGTTCCAGCTTCCCGGCTGCTTTGTTTACCTAAGCAAGCCTGGGCAATGGCGGGCGCCCCTCCCCCAGCCTGGCTGCCACCTTGCAGTTTGATCTCAGACTGCTGTGCTAGCAATCAGCGAGACTCCGTGGGCATAGGACCCTCCAAGCCAGGTGTGGGATATAATCTCCTGGTGCGCAGTTTTTTAAGCCTGTCGGAAAAGCGCAGTATTCGGGTGGGAGTGACCCGATTTTCCAGGTGCCGTTTGTCGCCCCTTTCTTTGACTAGGATAGGGAATTCCCTGACCCCTTGCGCTTCCCGAGTGAGGCAATGCCTCGCCCTGCTTCGGCTCGAGCACGGTGCGCTGCACCCACTGACCTGCGCCCACTGTCTGGCACTCCCTAGTGAGATGAACCCAGTACCTCAGAAGGAAATGCAGAAATCATCCGTCTTCTGCGTCGCTCACGCTGGGAGCTGTAGACCGGAGCTGTTCCTATTCACTTGTTTATTTCTTGAATGAGAATTTCCTAACTTCCCTTTCCTTTCTACAAGTCCTTAACCAGCCCCCAAATCCTCCTCCTAAAATTGCTGACCTTAAATATACTACTTGTGAGCTGAGATGAGCAGATAGATTTGAACCCATCTCCTATCTTCTTGTTTGGCTGCCCTGCAATAACACTTTCTTTCTAAAAAATTCAACACTTCAGTGTTTGGGTTTCTGCCCTGCATGGTCAAACAGACCCAGCTGGGTTCTGTAACAGTGGTAGACTATGACATGCCCTCGCACGGTCCCTTCTGCATTGGTAGAGGACTTGGCCATGGGGCTTGCTTTGGCCAGTGGAACAGCAGCAAATGTGACCGAACAGAAGCTGGATAAGCACTTGCACATCGGGGCTTGTCCTCTTGAAATGCTTCCTCTTGGAAGCCACCTGCCATTCTATGAAGAAGTTCGGGCTAGATCACTGAATGATGAGCAACCACATAGAGAAAGACCCCCACAGAATAAGAGACCGTCAAGGATGTGTAAGTCTCAGTGAACTTCCAGGTGAATGCACCTGATGAGTGACCTGAGCTATTGCACTTTCATGCTGAAGAACTGCCACCTGAGCCCTGCCAACCACCAACTCTTAAATAATGGGAGGAGATTGTTACCAAGTAATAGACAGCTGAAAAAAAGAATGCAAAAGCAGAATAAATTAAAATCTAGAAAATAATTCAATAATCACATATGAGATTCCCCTCAGGGAATTTCTGCTTTTGTGATACATGTAGGATAGTCTTATGTTGAAATCTGAGAATAAAAATTCAAACTAAATGTCAAGAAAATTTTACTCATTTATTAATTCCTTCAACAGTCTTTTGTTGGCCTTCTGTTATGAGCCAGGCTCCGTGTGAATAGAGAAGACAGGGAAAGGGAGAGAGACGAGGGAGCTCATCTCACCCCAGCACAGTGTGCTAAGTGTTGTGAAGGACGGCTGTGGGGAGTACAGCGGAGGGTAGGAGGACGGGCAGAGCTGAGGGAACTTCCCAGAAAAAGGTGGCCCCAGAGAGAAAGATTTTGCTGGCTAAGGACTTTTATGGAAACCTAACTTGGGATGATTTAATTCCAGGTATCTTTATGAAACTTAGGATTTAAAAAAGACAAATGGAGAGTTAGATAAGGAGAGACAAGCATTTCCTATTTATTTAAAGATTCCAAATACAACTCTTCATAAGATATGAATGATCTGTCTTGGCTCCCTTAAAGCACATCCTGGACACATGGCCAAGAAACTGCTTCCTTCAATCACCACGACAGAGTGCCTCGTGTAACAGTGTTCTGCACCTTCCCCTCTCCTCCCCTACCCACACCCATCCTCACACATGCTCCTCCCTGCCCCTGACACTGACAACCTAGGAATTGCTAGGAGAAAAGCCTGGCATATGTGGGAGCCACCCTCAGAGAAGCTGTCCCGAAGGAAAGGTGCTAACTAGGTGAAGACATATGACTCTCTGAGCGCTATTTCTTAATTCTAATGGAGGGAGACTGTGGCATGGAGCCAGGAAACAGAAAAGGCATGAAAAGAAGAACTAATTTGGAGCTGGCGGGGTGAGTGTTTCCTGGCTTATTTAAAAACATAGATACAGAATTCAAACATGGAAGAGGAATCTGACTACCAGAAGGAGACAGGATGTCAACAATGGAGTCAACAATGGCCAGGCCTGAAGCGATGTATTTTGACACTAGGGAAGCCATATAAAGAATACTGCTTGGTGGATCGGGTGGGTTCATCTTATACTCAATGTTTCATTTCCATTTAAATCTCTTGGAGGCAGAGGTTGAGGTTATTGACTTGGCCCCATATTAAGGAAAAATCATAACCCAGGCCTCCAAAGACCTTCCAGACTACAAGAGAAAAAGTCAAACACATGGCTAACGGGCATATATAAGGATCTTCACTGAACACGGACTTTTGAATGTCTATGATGTAGCAAGCACTGTGCTGGACACCACAGGTGCATTAAGGCATATGCCGGAGTCCCTTCCCTCAGGGAACATCCCTTCTAATTGCCACTTAAACATGGCAAACCTACGGAGGTGTGCCAGGACAAGGGCAGTCAGAAGGGTGGTGTGGTATACTGGGAAGCTCATAGACCACCTTGCTTTGAGTGCCTCTCAGCCGCTGTCTTGCTCTGTGATTTTAAGGAAGTCCTTGAACCTCGCTGAGCCTGCTTTTTCCATCTGCAGATTGGTGATAATGAAACCTACCTTGCTGTTTCATGTTGAGGAATCACTGTGAGAAGGTAAGGCCGTAACAATTTGTCGGAAGGAGAAGGAAGGTCAAAGCTTTGTTGAAGAGCTTTATGCTATTGGCCAAACAGAAACATAGAGCCCTGTGTGTGGTAACTCTCAGGGGACATGGTTGCCTCGTGGATAAAAACGTGAGAATTAGAAGAACAGAAAAAGCCAGCAGGAAAACTCAGAGGAAAGAGTCAGAGAGAACAAGGATGTTGTCTGTCTCCAGCATAATTGTGTAGAGCCTGGGATTCATTGCTAGTGACATTCCCTGGCTTCTCCCTCAGTGTGACGTCATGTGCTCTGTGATGTTTATTGCACTGCATTCCAGGGATGCTGCACAGAGCCATGTCCAGTGTCAGAAACCTTGGAAAATAGTCCTCGGTTTAATTTTAACTTTTTATATAAACAGTGACCTAATTTGAGGAAGGCTCGGTCTGGCCAGGCATCCCCGCTCCCACATTTCCTCCTCTTCACTCCCTCCTTCTGCCCTTAGTCAAACTGTCTCGCCTTCATCTCCCATATGGACTTTGCAAACAAGCAAGGGGGATGTGTGAGCTCAGCTAACTTGAAAAGAGAAGACGTGTGCCAGCGAAGCAAAACACTCCAGCCAAGTCATGCACCTCTGCGGGAGGGAGCCACCTCCTCAGCTCTCATCGTGAAATGTTATCTCACCAGGGCAGATGGAGGTACAGACAGAGGACTCCAACGCAACACAAGCAGCTGCCTGTCCAGAAGAGAGCCCTTTCTCTCCCTCCCAGTCCCAGCTCCAGCTGTATTTTCTTTCTTTCTTTCTTGAGCAAGAGGTCAGGTTCTCTCTGTATGCTTTGTGCAAATTAAGTGAGCTGTGAGTGCTGCCTGCGGCCGAAGGAACTACCCTCTGGTCTATGGTTCATCCTTCCTTCACTCCAACCACCACTGAGGGAGCAGAGCCCTCCCTGCCCAAATGCACAAGTGGGCAGCACCTCCGAGAACACAGAAGAATATGAAACGACCCTTCTAATTACTCAGGTGCAAGCAGAGGAGCTAACCATCCCACCGGGAGCCCACCCATGAGTGATGAATTCCAGTGACTGAGCCCAGTGTTGGGGGCTAGGGTAGAGGAAGAGTCCCTTGTGGACACGGTGGGAGGGAGGGAGGCATGAGGGGACAAGCAGGATGCCCTGACAGATTTTAACCCAGAAGCATGAATCCAGGTCTGAGGTCAGCAAACGTTTTCTGTAAAGGGCCAGATAGTAAATAATTTGTACTCTTTGTGGGCCATCCAGTCTCTGTCTACTTGACTCTGCCATCGTAGGGCAAAAACAACCACAGACAATAAATAAACGAACGGGCGTGTCTTGTGTTCCAATAAAAGATGGTTTACAAACACAGGCGGCTACTGGATCTGGCTCATTGGCTGTAGTTTTCTGACTGAAAGATCTAAAAGAACACCCTTTCCCATTGGTTCTGTCCATGTTTCCATATAGCTAACAATATCCTGGAGACCAGTTTGCCGCCCCGTTCCCCAAACCTTTATGTGCCTCTGATTTCTACACCCTGTTACTCTGTCTGCAAAAACCCCCAAATGCTGTAACTGGCTATTCACCTGGACAGAATGGCCTCCTTCAGGGAAAGCCAGCAGGGATGGTGAATTCAGATTTCCTGATTTCGTTGACAAATTCCTCACCACTGGCAGGAATGGGAAAGATAGATATTGAAGGTGCTGAAACCCACCCCTGTTGTCAGTTCAGGAGTGAGGTAAAAACATTCCTTGAGCAATTTGGTTTAGAATCATAGAGCCTCCTATTTTCTAATCCTTCTCTCTTTCTAGGTCTGATAATCTGAATATTGGCACTTCTACTTTATTCTCCATATTTCTTACCTTTTCTTTTCGTTTTCTGTTACTTCATACATTCCTCATGCTTTCTAGAAAAGCTCCTTAGTCTAATATTGCAACCCATAAGTTCCTTTAGCTATACTCACTCTACCATTTTCCCCATTCATTGCTGTGTTTTGTTTTGTTTTGTTTTAGAGTCAGGGTCTTGCTGTGTTGCCCAGGCTAGACTCAAACTCTTGGGCTCAAGGGATCATTCTGTCTGAGACCCCTAGGTAGCTGGGATTACAGGTGTGCACCACCATGCCTGCCATTGAGATCCTTAATCAAGTGTGAGACCCGGTGGAATGGCTAAGGGCTGGACACAGAGATAGATTACTTGTGTTCAAATCCCAGCTCTGCCTATAATTGCAGACAAGTTACTTAACGTTTCTGTGCCTTACTTCCCTCATCTGCAAAATGGGCTTAATAATAGCACCTGTCTTATTCTAGTGAGTATGTAAATGAGCAATGTTCACAGAGCACAGGGGAGAGCAGCATAGTTGAATTCACATTATTTTCAGAACTAGTGCTTCCAGTTCTTTATTCTTACAATTTCTTCCCTGTATTTTATATTGATATTACCTTCCCTTATTTCTTCACTCATATTAACCAGAATCCATTTGAATCCCAACTCTTGCAACACTTCTGCACAGTTTGTGGCCCTTTTCAGCAGGAGTACTCAGCAGGAACATGGTTGTGCCCAGGTGAACTTGCAGTCCCCCGGAATACCACTGAGGGGTTCCAGTGCTGCACATTCCAGAGGGCCACAGGAGTGGCAGGGCATAAGCCCCAGGGCAGGGTGGGAGCCCCACCACCCAAGACACTGTCCATCACTCACCAGAAACCTCTGTGGGGAGGTTTAACTTGAAACCCTTAGAATGATTCAGCACATGTAGGAGGCCGTCTCCAAGGTGGCCACCCACCAGCCTGGGGGCTAAGAGTGAAGGTTAGGGAGATCCTGAGTGCAGCTGCTCAGGCACCCTCTATTTTCATCAACTCCCCCTTCCATCAGGTTTTCTTCTGCCAGATATAAGTGCTGCCTCACCCCCACACCCTCAGACAATAGGACACCAGCACTGAGCCACTGTAGCCATTTCTGTGCTGGGGCAGTCAAGGCTGGTCCTCAGGCAACTCCTGGGTGGAGCAGATGTGGGGACACCAGAGCAGAATTTGTAAAGCTTACTTCCAACCTCCTCTCCAAAGGCGGCTTTGGGCCTCTTCCCTCAGCCCCCCACTGCAGCCACTACGTCCCCCACCTCATGCCAGATGAGACAAGCTGCTGTCACTCCAGAGATCTCTCAAGGTTTTGTGTTGTTGCAAGTGTTGTCAGTTCCTGGAGTTCATCTTTCCCTCTTGCTTCTATGGTTTCTCAAGGGTTGATTTTGGCAGCAGAAGCCTGTATGTTGTGCTAATTCTCCATCTCAGGAAGAAACAGAAAACAGAATCATGAAGTCTAAAGAAACTGAGGTGCTATCCAGCTTTCTGTCCTGGGTATGACTCTCTTATGATTGTCCAAATAAGATGTCATTTGGGCTTGGTGCGGTGGCTCACACCTGTAATCCCAGCACTTTGGGAGGCTGAGGCAGGTGGATCACAAGGTCAGGAGTTCAAGACCAGCCTGGCCAACATGGTGAAGCCCCATCTCTACTAAAAATACAAAAATTAGCCAGGCATGGTGGTGGGTGCCTATAATTCCAGCTACTCAGGAGGCTGAGGCAGGAGAATGGCTTGAATCCGGGAGGTGAAGGTTGCAGTGAGCCAAGATCGCACCACTGCACTCCAGCCTGGGTGACAGAGTGAGACTCCATCTCAAAAAAAAAAAAAAGTCATTTGGTCTCTGCTTCAAAATCCCCACCAATAGAACACATATGCATGACGGGATGGTTCTTCTCATTTTTTGCACTTTTTACTGAAAAATAACATACATACAAAAAAGTAGTTCATAAGCTCAACAGACTTTCACAAAGAGAACACACAGAAATATTCTGCACTGAAGTCTAGGAACTTTACAGGTAGGTTTGTTCACTTAATACGTCTAGCTGCTATAACCGAGAGCTATCACCAGAGCGTCCTTGTTATAGTGAAGAGTTGCATTTCTATAATTTCCACCAACTGTTTCAGTGCTACGAAGTTACACAAAATAAGTGCAATATTTTCTTTAAAAAACAAACAAACAAAAAAACTTTCTTAGAGCCAGATGTGGTGGCTCATTCCTATAGTCGCAGTTACTTGGGAGAATCATTTGAGCCCAGGAGTTCAAAACCAGCCTGGGCAACAGAGCAAGACCCCATCTCTAAAGAAAAGTTTTTTGTTTTTGTTTTTGTTTTTAACTTTTAAGCACTTAAAGTTACATATTTGTTTTCCTATGAGAAATCTTTTTGTCCCCCATCTTATATAATCTTACTCCTTTCAACCAGTTTTGCTGTAACAAGATGGTACTACGGTGATGAAATATGAAAATCTATAGGGTGGGAGGACTGACAGGCAAAGAGATGTTTGGAGAACAGATGTTTGGGGACAGAAAGTGACTTTCTGGGCTAGTCACAGCTGTATGAGGAGAAAAATAGAAACAGGATGGTGTCGGCCAGCAACAGCAACCCAGTTCTTTTCTGCTGAGTCACGCTGGAGGGTTTAGTTTCTCTGGGCCTCCCGGGTGGGCAGACACCGTGTCCAGAGAAAGCAAGAGATACCAGCTGCAGGACGAGGTCTTTCAGAGGGCCTGACATGAGGCAGCGGCAGCCCAAGAAACCAGGGCGGTGCAATCAGAACTGACAGCAGAGCAGGGAGATGACAACTCATCTGAGGCGGCACTGAGCAAATGTTCTAGCCGCTTCCAAGATTCAGCCAACCCTCATCTGAGAGTTAACTATAGAAGCAAGTGCCCTCCAAGTTCTCACTGACAGCCAAGGAGAGGGAATAAAGCATTATGTGTTGAGGATGACATGGATGAGAATTGCAAATTGTGGTAACTGAGGAATTGATGCTTGGTGTCAAGACACAATAGAAATGCTTATGTGGACAACATGAAGCATGAGCCTGGGGGCCATGGGAAGGGACTGGGCTAAGAGGGTGTGCAAAGTGAACATATTAAGCAGGCATCACTGGATGTACGTGCTTGTCCAGCTTTTTCCATATCCATGGGCCTGTCCTTTTAGCTTTTCTATGTGAGAGCTCTGAAAAGGAGAGCGTGAAGTAATCTGGTCTACAGGAGCCTTAGGAAAATCAGGGCCTTCTTCTCCTTCTCTTCCTCCTTCCTTTTCTTCTGTGTTAGTCCATTTTCATACTGCTATGAAGAAATACCCAAGATTGGGTAATTTATAAAGAAAATGAGGTTTAATGGACTCAGAGTTCTACATGGCTGGGGATGCCTCACAATCATAGTGGAAGGTGAAAGAGGAGCAAAGGCACGTCTTACATGGTGGCAGGCAAGAGAGTGTGTGTGGAGGAACTGCTCTTTATAAAACCATCAGATTTCATGAGACTTATTCACTATCATGAGAACAGCATGGGAAAACCCACTCCCATTATTCAATTACCTCCCAAGAGGTCCCCCCATGACACTTGGGGGTTATGGGAGCTGTAATTCAAGATGAGATTTGGGTGGGGACACAGTCAAACCATGTCATCTTCCCTAAATACTGGGTGAATTTAATACAAGGTATGGAAAAAGAACCCCTGGACTTGCATGGTCCCAACTATGCATCATATCTGTGCATACATTTATGTAGATATTTTATATGTTCTTTTGTATACTGTTTTCTTCTTAAATTTAATTGATGCTCTTTGTGTGTACAGGAAATCACTGAAAATAAAAGTGGTGTGATTGGTCTACTCCGTGTATAGAAACTACATGTCTTATGTCTTTGTTACTAGGATAGGTGTTTATAGCTTCTCCTGGATGTACACTTCTAACGTTTGGTCTTCTGGGTTGTAGTTACTTTTGCTCAGAAAGAATTCATCTGTTTCCTGTAGCTATGAGCTTAACTTGTTGCCTGTGGCTGTTTTCCCCTAGTATTCCATAGCCAGACTATGCAATTTAAAGCATAATGGCACTGGCTATGGAGTGTCCAAAAAGACCACCAGAAAAGAAAAAGTGTTGGTTAAGCAAAGCTGGGTTTTTAATAGACTTATTGCAATAAGAGAGAACATCAGCTTGATCTAGATACAGAATCCAGTAGCATCTCAGAAGAGAGAAGTCAGGGGAGGATTATTTAGGGTTTTAGGGCCTAGGCTGGGTGATTCTTAGGTGGGTCTTCAAAGGCAGGGAACTGGTTGGGATTGGGCAGAATTTATGGCACAATAGCTTTGGACTGGTAGGCACCACAAGGTGAGAATATGAAAGTGAGCTTTGATGAGTGACCCGTTAGTCCTGATAAGTCAGCTGTTTCAGTAGCTCCACAGTCTTATTTTCCAGGAGCGGGTATCCACTGGAGCAAGTAGCTGAGTTGTTTTTGCCTGATCTCAGCATTGTTCAACTAAAAGCCTATTCTTTATCCCAGAGTTGTTTAGCTAAGGAACAAGAAAATACATTAGTTTCAGTTCTTATGGAATTACAAAATTTGCTTAACTACAACTTCAACATGCAGAGAAAATATGGTTTTAATATTTTTCCCATAACTGATATGCTTTTATGGGTGAGCTGGTTAGTGGGGAAGTAACAGCAAAGCTGATGATGCAGTCATTTAAACAGCCCCTTTAATGGATACCCCACATCTTTAAGTAAAAATGCCCAATCACTCCAATTTTTCACACTTCTACTTTTCTCTGCAGCTCCTCTCCCAGATAGTTTCTTGGTATATAGGGGAAGGGATGTGACTTACGTGTCTTCTTACAGAAGGAAGAATAGACAGGTCAAGGTCCAGGGTCTGGTTCCTGGAGTCTCTCGCTTGCCACTTACCCCACTGGAGTTCATAGCTCAAGCTCACAGCCAGGATAATACTTGTTCTGGTTCCTCTCACTTGGTCAGGCCTGACAGCTCTCTCTGGGTGACTTTATCTTCCCTCAGCAATAGCCATTTGTAACACACTCTGATTCCTCATTCAATTCTCCAGCCTAGACAATCTATTTCCTGCCATAGAGGCCCTCATGTTAGACCAACTGACTCTATTCTAAGCTTCTCTACTGTAGAAATAAACGAAGACCAACCAAATGAGAAAAGCAAAGGCTATTTATTCAGAGCTTTCTATAGCAAGGGAGTCTGCCACTGTCACTTTTGGCAGCAATGCAAAGGCGGGCAGAGGAGTGGAGGAGCCTTAGAGTGGCATGAAGGGAAGGCTCCAGGTGTATGCTGATTGGAGGCTGTTGGCATGGGAAGCTGGAGGTGGCTGGCTCACTAGGAGCGGGGGCATCCTAAGTGATTACTTAGGGGTGAATATTTGCCTTTCTCTGGTTGGCCCTACGTTGGAAGCATGGACAAAAATTAGGGAAGCTGTCCATTATTCATAAAGTTCTGGTCATTTTTTGCAGATTATTACAGAAGTTACTATTCAGCTTCATTGATTGTTACTAGAGACAGCAATCTGGCCTCCTGCAAGTCTGACTTCAGGCAGGCTGGCTTCCTAGGCTGGTTATTGTAGATAAGGGGGGTGTTATATAGATAAGGTGGGCAGATTCCTGCAGATTGTGGGTCAGAGTTCTATTTTTTTTTTTTTTTTCAGACGGAGTTTCACTCTTGTTGCCCAGGCTGGAGTGCAATGGCGTGATCTCAGCTCACTGCAACTTCTGCTTCCCAGGTTCAAACAATTCTTCTGCCTCAGCCTCCCGAGTAGCTGGGATTACAAGCATGCACTACCATGCCTAGCTAATTTTGTATTTTCAGTAGAAACAGGGTTTCTCCATGCTGGTCAGGCTGGTCTCAAACTCCCAACCTCAGGTGATCCACTTGCCTCAGCCTCCCAAAGTGTTGGGATTACAGGCACAAGCCACCGCACCCGGCCAGAGTTCTATTTTTAAGTATGGTCTGGTCATTGTCCATTTGTATATTCAATCTTCCTTTACCAGATAGCAACTGATGGAGTCTTCCAGAAGGGCAAATTTCTCCCCAACCCCAATCCATCCCCTTGACAATGCTCCTCTATTTTGTCTCAGTGCCTCCTTGGTGTTTGCATTAACTCCTTTGGGATAGTCCTAAATCAGCCCCCTCCCCTTCACTCTCTCTTCATTTTTCCTCTCATCATCTCCTGGGACAGGAAGAGTAGGGCTTGCCTGTCTTCCTCTGTGGTATCTCCTCTTCCCATGGACCAGCAAGCTTCATGGCCTACCTGTTGTCTCCAAAAGAATAACTTTTCTACCCTGCAGGGAAACTTGTAGATCTGGGTGATTCTTGTTGGTGCTGAATAGGCTGTTGTATTTCTAATTTGTTCTTGAGGTCTCTCTCCGGACAGTGAATATAAACTCTAGTGCTGACTTGACAGGGCTCCAGGGATTTTCCTGTAGATGTTTACAGTGTGCCTTTCTTGGGGTGCTTCTTTATCTTGGTGGACAGCCTCATGCCTAAGTGTTCAACCTGTGACCAGGTGCCCCTCTCACAGAAAATTTGTTTATACTATCAGATGCCCTTGTGGCTTTTATCTGGACTGTGTCCAGTTTACTCCTGCCAAGATAGCCATTCTATAGGAGAACCATGATTTGGAAAGAAGTTAGGTTCACGTGTGTTGGTCAGGAGAGACACAGAGGAGGCAACTCCACAAAACACATGAAATACCAGAAGCAGTTTATTACTTACAGATCCCAGAGAAAGGAGGGCAGCACGTTTTGCAGGACCAGCAGAACAGAGGAACCTTCAGGGACATATGTGCTCACTCAGTGGGCAGAGAGCAAGGAAGGGAGAAAAACCTGTGGGTCAAAGCCTTTATTGGGGTCCAGAGCATTATCTAAGCAGGTTTCCCTGGGGGAGTTCTAACTGGTGAGTTCAGAGCAAGCAGACACGAATTCCATGGAGTTGTGCTGTGACTGAGAAGTGGTCACTGGTGCACATCTGTGCAGTCCACATGGGGTGTGGGGGTCAGTGAGGCAAGTCAAGTAGGCTGTGTCTAACTGTTCCCTAGGGAGGTGGTTGCCAGGGGAAAGGAGTTGTATAGGGCAGATGTCTGGATTAACCAGCTTGAGGAACTGGGAGGAGGCAGAAAACTGGAAACTGTGTCGAAGAAGATAAAGCCCTGCTTCTGTATGAGAAAGTCCAATTTATATTCAAAATGGATGCAAAGATAACATAAAATGATAAGAATTCAGTACATAGGCCAAAGGAGGAGATAAAGCAATTCAGATGGGTCTCAGGAAGAAAAAAAAAGTCTTCTTTCAAGACTATTATCTTGCTTGAAATCCTGTTTTAAATATCAAATGCTGAATATCCTCTTTTTTTCCCTTTGCACACCATAGAACACACCCACAGACCTCTGGGCTGATGACCTTGGAACCAATTAGAAATAAAGATCTATACTTGCACAATTGAAAGAGAAAATTACATTAATATTTTTTCAAAATATGGCTCCCATCATAGAAGGTATTCTTCACTAGGCTTACATAGAATTCTTTTGTCCTGCTTGCTTCAACTGGCTTTCTTTAGGGGAACAGAGGTTAATAGGGAGAAATGAAGCCATTTCTTGTGCCCTGTTTAGAAATGATCTCTTCCTCTTCATTTTAACTGCTGGAGAATAAAGTCTCTTTCATCCTCTCAGTACAGGGCTCCCTCTTCTCAGAAGGGCCTCCATTGGCTTTTCTATTTCCTCCCCATAATTTGAGCTCCCTACCCCCACGTGCTTGAATCTTAATGGAAAAATAGAGCTGCAACCCTTCACTTTTAAGAATCTTCTTCATAGGGCTCCCCAGCTACCTCCCCCTTTACTGAAAACCCTTTAAAGTTTGTGCATGCACATGTGTGTGCACACATGTGCATGTAATAATAGGCCCTCTATCCCTTCCTTGTCTTGATTGCTCTTACAGACTACATGTACTAATAATTTCATATTTGACTTTGACTGTTATTTCATTCCCTCTAGTTCTAAACCATTATTCTACATTTTTTCAGAGGCTCGTTATGACTCACTGGGCAGCCAAAGAAACATAATGAGTCCAAGATGATTGCACATGGTGGTACTCCACAAATAGATATTAAACAGCTCATGAAATCTATAAATGTCCTTACTATACTGGGTGCATTATAAAGCTATGAATCAATAATTCAGGCAAGTTTTTTTTAATGCTCTCTAAAAATCTAGCTCTCTAGACCTTTTTTCTCCCGGACACAAAAACTGTATGCATATAGGAAAAAGAAAGCCGAAGGAAATGAAGGAGGAGGAAGAGGAGGAGAAAGGGGGGAGAACAAAAGGAGAAATGGAGAAGAATACAAAGAGAGAGAAGAAATTATTTAAATAGCATAAGCCCTTTCTCACAGCTTTTTGACAGTTGCCCACATAAGGAATAAACAACAAAAGGCACAAAGTAGGCACTCAAAAAGGATTTATTGAATGAGCAAAGACGTTTTATAACCATACTTATTTTGGACTGAGTTTACACATTGGTTTTCATAGTAACCTCTATTCAATGTTTAACTCTGTGCCTGGAACTGTGCATGTATTCACTCAGTAGTTTTTAAATGTGAGGAAGGAACTGATATGGCCCCCCACTGGCTGGGTCGTAATAGCAGAGGCCACTGAAGGGCAATATGCAAGCTGAATGTTGAAAAAAAGCCAGTGATCAGGGGACGTTCCTGAGGGTACTGGGAAAAAACGAATGAGGAGTTAATTGAGTTTGGCTCTTGATATGGTTTGAATCTGTGTCCCCATCAAATCTCATGTTGACTTCTAACCCTCAGTGTTGGAGATAGAGCCTGATGGGAGGTGATTGGATCAAGGGGGTGTAGTTCTCATGGATAGGTTAAACCATCCCCTCAGTGCTGTTTTCATAATAGTGGGTGAGTGAGTTATCATGAGATCTGGTTGTTTAAAAGTGTGTAGCACCTCTTCCCTCTTTCTCTCTTTCTCCTGCTCTGGCCGTGTAGTATTGGCTCCCCTTTTGCCTTCTACCATGATTGTAAGTTTCCTGAAGCCTCCCCAGAAGCAGATGCCACTATGCTTCCTGTAGAGCCTGTGGAACTGTAAGCCAGTTAAACCTCTTTTCTTTATAAATTACCCAGTTTCAGGTATTTCTTTATAGCAATGCGAGAACAGATTAATACAGTTCCCCCTTTAGGATCCCGTCTGTTTGTGAATGATTCCACCATCTTTTAACTGGCCCAACCCAAACATCTGGGCATCATCTCAGACTTACTACCGGACCCAATTCCTCACCAAATTCCTCAATAGTTCTCACATATACTTCCTGCTGCCCCACCACCACTGCCAAATTTCATATTGTCACTGACTCTTGTGTTGATCATTGAAGGAACATGCCAAACAATCTCCCTGCTTCTAGTCCTGCTTTCTCCCACACTACATACCAGAGGAATCTTTTGAAATTCCAACCAGATTATGTTACTTTTCTGCTTAAAAATCTTTCAGTAATTTCCCATTGTCTTCAGGATAGAACCCAAACGCATTCACAGAACATACAGAGTCCTTCATGATCTCTCCCTCGCCTCCCCTCCAACCTCATCGCTTACCATCCTCCTACCTACCAGTCCTTCCCTGCAGTCACCTTGATCATTTGCACCTTCCCCAGGACATTTTCAAGTCTCTGAGCCTCCACATGTTTCTCTCTGAAATTATTTCTCCCTTCTCATTATTTCTTTCAAGACATTGTGTCTTTTCAAGACATCTTTTAAGACTTAGCTCTGTTTTCCTTTGGGACGCTTTCCCCATTCTCCTGCCCTTTCTTTCCTTTTAACTAACTGCTCCTTCACTACCTCCAATATACACACACCTCAAAAGTGGTTTTCATGCCTACATCATCCAGGGTCCCAACAGAAAACAGATGACACCCTCTGATCAATCTAAATATGAGGAAAGTTTATTTACAAGCAACTAATTATAAAGTTGTGGGTGTAGTTAAGTGAAACTACAGGAACTGGTACAGAAACTTTGGACTAGCAGCAGCAGTGGAGCTCTCATTATCTGTAGGTCGTAAGGGAGAAGGTAAGGGAGACAGTAGGTGAGTTTGGGATGAGCAGTGATATTTGATGGAGTCATCTTCCCAAGGAGAGAAAGAAATACTCCAGAGCTGCCTCTCCTCTCTGCCCCAGTCTCCTAAAGTGCTGCCTGTCAGTTGAAGCCAACAAGAAACCAGACGGCCCAGGAGTCTTGTTGACGTGGTCCATGTAGACCAATCTCCCAGGGAAGAGCAAAGGTGGTGTAAGGGAGGAAAGCTTTTTCCTCTACCCTCTTAGGTTCTGCAGCTGGGCCTGAGAATTAAACTGACAAAAGACAGAGAAACAGGAGAAAAGCATAGACATTTTATTTGATGTTAATATTTTTGCATGGCATAGGAGACTTCACAGAAAAAAGAAATGAAAAGGCCCGAGAGGGTATATACCATTTCAACAAAGAATGATCAACTGTGGAGATGTGAAAGATCAACTGTGGAGCGAAAGGAGTTGGGGCTGGGGCAGCAAATTGTGGGAAAGTGACTAGGAAATATTGGAGAAACTAGTGGAAGATAAAGGTTGTTTTCGTAGGTTTGTTTGTACAGATTCATCTTGACATTGACTCTCTGTCTTCAGTAATAGGAATGTTCTCTTCTCCCTGGTAAGGGAAAGGAAGGCACTTTTCTTGTAGGAAGTCTGTGCCAGCTTTTGGGTAGAAAGGGAGAGATCAGAGAGCCTTTCCTACAGCTGCTGTTCATTCAGCTCAAAATAATCAATATGCTAAAGTTGCCTGTTTTAGAGTGGCAAGTTCTGATTCCTATCAGTGGAGAAAGATCTAGTAAATCTGGAGGTGCCCAGTGCCCTTTTTCTGTGCCCCACAGCTTCCTGTGCACACCTCTTCAAACCCACGCCTCCTGCTAAATTTTAACTGCTCCACTCCCTAGCTCGTCTCTCAGCCATATGAAAGGCAGCTGGGCCTTTCACCTCTTTTCACCAGTGTGTACCACAGTGATTGGCACATAACTAATGGTAACTGAACTCAATAAATATTCTCTAAAATTAAATAACAAAATTTTGAATGCATACATGCCAGAATTGTTGGAGACTTTAGAAAATATTTAGTTCACTCTTCTTATTTCAAAGATGGAAAAACTAAAACCAAGAGGTGAATAGCCTTGTTCAAGAGTTAAAATTAATACACAGCATTAACGGTATGGTATACACAGTATTAATTTTCAGGACCAGATCTTAGTTTTTCTAATTCCCAATCTTCCTCTACTACTTAATTTTAACTGTAATCTCAGGTTATTCCTTGGAAGCAAAATTCACACGACTTTTCCATAAAACTAAGAGTCTTATGTTTTGGCAACAAGAAAGAGACAGCGAGAGGGGTTGGATCTGCCTGCTTTGAGTCCTTTGCCAAAAACAATCTCTGAGCTCTCTGGATAAGCAACACTTGCAAACCTAGCAAAGTGCCACAAGTTGGAGTCATGAAATGAAGCACGAGGCTCGGGAATAACGCCTTTACACAAACTACCTCTGGTGGTGGGTGGTGAGAGTGGTTTTGTTTTAACATCCTATTAGCACATTATCTTTCATTTCCAAAGCCTTTATTGGTTCCAAGCCTACAGGTGGTGATGGGGGGTGGGAAGGAGATTGAGTAAGATGTTCCTTAGTTGGGAGGCAAAGCTGTTGGTGCCTCCTCGTTTGATGAGTCAGCAATCGGCTGCTGCTGCTGCTGCTGCTGCTGCTACCACCACTGCTGTTAGTTATTTTGTTGTTGTTTTTTTTCTTGGGAAATGCAACCATTGCTTCTGAAATGATTGCATGCCAAGTGCAAAAGATAGAAGCATTGATCATACTGGGCTGGAATCACCTGTTTATTTATCTGCCCTCACTAAACTGTGTGCTCTTAGAGAGCATAGATTATGCCCTTTGTCTAGGTAACTCCAGACCCTGGCCAAGCGTCTAATGCTTTGTTGGTGACACCACAAAAACATAAAAAAAAAAAAAAAAAAAAAAAGGCTAGGTGGACTTGAGAATATGGACTCAGTGGTCAGGGATGCAATTCTTTTTTTTTTTTTTTTTTTTTTTTGAGACGAAGTCTTGCTCTTTCACCCAGGCTGGAGTGCAGTGGCACGATCTCAGCTCACTGCAAGCTCCGCCTCCCGGGTTCACGCCATTCTCCTGCCTCAGCCTCCCAAGTAGCTGGGACTACAGGCATGTGCCACCACGCCTGGCTAATTTTTTGTATTTTTTAGTAGAGACGGGGTTTCACCATGTTAGCCAGGATGGTCTCGATCTGCTGACCTCGTGATCCACCGGCCTCAGCCTCCCAAAGTGCCGGGATTACAGGCGTGAGCCACCGCACCTGGCCAGGGATGCAATTCTAAGTCCTAGCACTCTGATGAGCATTCTTATGTCACTTCACTAGCAGAGGGTGGTTCTAGTACCATCATGCAGCTGTTGCAAGGATCCAAGAAGATTGTGTGATTGAAACTTCATGTGATACAAACTGTAAAAGTTGGGTATAGCTTAATTTCGCAGAAGCTATTGGCTAACCCCATGACTTTCGGCAAGTTAAACCACCTGTGAACCTCAGTATCCACAGCGGTAAAATAAGAAGTTTGGAAACTATGATGTACAAAGTCCTTTTCTGCTCTGAAATTCTCCTAAATTTCTTTGCTGTCAAACACCCCAACTCTCTTCTTTGACAGGGTAGAAGACAATCCATGAAGCTGCCACTAAAAAGGATAAAAGGAACTATGTGGGTTTATGATCACAACCAATTATGCTACTGCCAAAAGAAAAACAGCACTGAATATTTTAGTTTCTCAGAGGACGTGCAATGTTTGAAAATCATCTTCCTTCTTGCATTAAAAAAAAAAAGAAAAAGAAAAAAAGAAAAGTGGGAGAGCCATCACATTCTGTGCATAACTTTTCTACTTATAGACAAAATTTTCAATTCATTTTTTTCCTTTCTGGAGGTGTGAGGGAAAATTCCCATAGCTGGAGGAGTGTGGAAGTCAGGGGACTGTAGGAGAATGTAAGTGTGATCGTGGGACTACACTTAATTCATTAAAATGTGTGGTTTATAAAAACCACTTTGCCAAAAATGAGCTTTGTGGGAAGGAGAAGGCAGCAGGGATATGGATGCGTGGGGGAAAGGGAGGAGTAAGAAGTGCCAAGAGAGAGGGAAGTCTTATTTGTTGCTAAATGTTGAATCCCACATAAGAATATGTCATGAGCCAATTTAGGAAAATTAAAATGCAACTTGGGGGAGTGAAAATCTATTAGGCACAGATATTACGTGTTGACATTATTATCATCCTATTTTTATATAAATTGTGAACATTCTCCAGTAACTTTAAAAAGTTTGGGGAAACTTTTTTTTTTAATTATCCTCCTTTCACATTTTCTCTCTTTTCCTAGGTGAAATGGCAGTAATATAAGAACATTGTGCTTTTATTCCTTTCCTGTCACTACTGTGAATTGTTTCGGAAACAAACTGCATTTTTTAGGTTAACATTGGCTGCTGTAACAAATAAACCTCAAACTTTTGTGACTTAACACAACAACAGAATTTTATTTCTCATTCACAGAACAGTCTGGTGGAAGTATTCCCGGTGGGCACACCACTTTCCTCAATGAGATAACTCAAAGATTGAGGCTCTGCTATGGCTTGAATGTGTCCCATCCAAAATTCGAGTGTTGCCAGTGTGATTGATAGTATTCAAAGATAGGGCCTTGAAGAAGTGATTAGGCCATAAGGTCTCTACTCTCAGGAATGATATTAGCTGTCCTTATAATAGGTGTTGATAGAGGAAGTTCATCCCTTTTTGCCCTTCTGCTATCTACCATGTGAGGATACATCTCTTTTTCCCCTCAGGGGTTGCAGCATTGAAGGCACCATCTTGGAAGCAGAGACTAGACCCTCACCAAGCAATTAACATGCTGGTGCATTGATCTTGGACTTTCCAGCCTCCAGAACTGTGAGAAATAAATTTCTGTTCTTAATTAATTACCCAGTCCCAGGTATTCTGTTATAGCAGCACAAAGCTTAGACGGGCTCCTTACATCTTGAGGCTCCATTATCTCCTGGGAACTGGGAGTCCTTAGGTTCTAGCCATGGAAAGAGAAACAAAAGATGGAGAAGGCACACATGCTTCTTAATGGTCGTGGTTCAGAAGTAACAAATACTAATTCTATATATTCTACTGGCTCAACACAAATGCAGGGGTGTGCTGGGAATGGAGTCTCTGATTGGGCAGCAGGGATCAGGGATCAAAGATCAGGAAATATTCCAGGGTGAATATTTTACTAGGTGAGGAGGACCATGAATTTTGACAAACAGCCTTTGCTGCTCTACCCACTCCTCATCATCACTGTTAGACACAAAGAGAAATGGCAGCACTTTTTGTCCATTGATTGTAACTCTTTCTTTAAAGACTTTTAAGGCAGAATCTCAATTCATCTCTTCTATGAAACTTTCATGATTCAAAGGGAAGTCCCTGCATGGACACTGCCAGCTTCATTGCACTTCTGCCTCTATGCTTTTTCCTGAACCTTCTCCACCTCTGGAACGTACTTCAGGTAAGGCACCTGTGCCTGATCCTTGTGATGTCTTCTTGCATCTGTTATTCCTCTGCTTATTCACCTCAGGGGATCCCCTCTCTCAGAGACATTTGTTCTGTCAAAGAATTTACTAAGCATTCACAAACTAGTAGGAAGATAGCTTTTCTTTAAGAAATCTCTTGGCAGGCAGACCCCGCCCCCCAAATCATACAAATCATGCCCAGGACATCCCTATGTCAGAACTCACCAGGAACCAAAGGGTTCCCTTTCCTTATTTATAAGTCAATGTTAGAGCCAACTCACTTTTTAGAGGTGTAAAAACTGAGATCTAAGGAGGTTAAGTAGAGCTATGCCTGAAATTTCACAACTAGTTTGTGAAGAACCAAGCTTAGGATCCAGGAGTCCTGACATTCCACTAGCACTCTTTCCATTCTGTCATGGAGTCTTAAGAGCCAATACCAGTATGCATTCTCAACCCATGGAAGAGACAGACACTTAAGTGAGTGTGTGTATATAAATGTGCTGTGTGTGATGATTTTTTCCTGCCAGGCTTGTCATTTCCCTTTACCACCCAACAATTTTTATTTCTTAGAGCATGTAACATTGTTTTGGTCTCCACAGTATTTCCACTACAGCATGGCATTTGCTGGGTGTATTAGTCTGTTCTCACATTGCTATAAAGAACTACCTGAGACTGGGTAATTTACAAAGAAAAGAGGTTTAATTGGCTCCTGATTCTGCAGGCTGCACAGGGAGCATGGCTGGGAGGCCTCAGGAAACTGACAATCATCAGTAGAAGATGAAGAGGAAGGAGGCGCATCTTACATGGCCAGAGAAGGAGGAAGAATAAGAAGGGGTAAGTGCTACACCCTTCTAAACAACTAGATCACGTGAGAACTCACTGTTGTGAGAATAGCAGGGGGAAAATCTGCCCCCAGGATCAAATCACCTCCCACCAGACCCCTCCTCCAACATTGGGGATTACAATTTGCCATGAGATTTGGATGGGGACACAGAGCTAAACCATATCAGTAGGTGACTAGTTAGTAGTTTTTTTCTTTTACACAAAAGCTAGTGTTGACATAAATTATCATAGCATCAAAGATACCTAGAAATAAACCAATCAAAATATGTACAGGATATCAAAGTCAGGTCTAAATATTATTGAAAGAAATTGAAGAAGACCTAAATAAATTAAAAAATACATCACTTTTATGAACTGGAAGGATCTCATCACTGTAAATAAGTCAAACCTCTCCAAATTGATCTACAGAATCAATATAATGCCAATCTAAATCCCAGGAAGGTGTTTTGAGGAAATTGACAGGCCTATTCAAAAACTAATACAGATATGTCAAGTCTTAACAGTAACAGAGACAACCTTGAAGAAAAATGAAGTGGGAAGATATCGTGACTCACTTTTAAAAGTGCACCAAGTAAAACAGAGTCGTATTGGTCATGGGATAGAAAAATGGACCAATAAAAAGAATTGAAAATCTGGAAACAGATCCACACATATATGTATACTTGATTTGATTTATGACATAGGGAATCATGGGGAAAGGCTAAGCCCTTAATAAATGACACTGGTTCAATTACATATTCATATGGAAAAAAAATCTTGATCCCTATCACACACTATACACAAATACCATTCCAAATGTGAAAGGCAAAACAATAAATCTTCTAGAGGGTTTGGCAAACTTTTTCTGTAAAGAGCCAGAGAATAAACATTCTGGGCTTTGTGTGCCATAAGGTCTGTTGTAGCACAAAAGTAGTCATGGGTGATGTGTAAATGAATGAGCATGACTGTATCCCAATAAAACTTTATTTACAAAAACAGTTGGCAGAATGGATTTGGATCACAGTCCATAGTTTGCCAACCCCTGTTCTAGAAGTTAACATGGGAGAATATCTTTATGATCTTAGAAGATTTTTAAATAGTCACAAAATGTCCTAATCAAAAAGGCAAAGATACATTGTGGTCCTTTAATTTTAAGACGTTCTGTTCACCCCAAAATACCATTAAAGTACCGAAGAGGCAACCCACATAGTGGGAGAAATTATTTGCAACACATATAACGCATGTCCAGGATAAGTGAAAACTACAAATTAATAAGGAAGACAAATAACCCAGTGCCATGTTCAGGCACTTCACCAAAGGTAGCCAAATTGCCAATTAACATTTCCAAAGGTACTCAACTTTATCAGTCTTCAGGAAAATAAAAATTAAAACCACAATGACATGCTACTACACACCTATTGGAACAATCATAATTTAAAAGCCTGACAATACCAAATGTTAGCAAGGATTTTGAACATACACACTGTTGGTGGAAGCGTAAACTGGCACATTTCCACTTTGGAAAACTCTTTGGCAAGGTTCCTCTAACGCTGAGTACTACATGCATACTTTCTGACTCAGCAATTCCACTTGCAGATATGTACTCCCACAGAAATATACACAAAAGACATGTATAAGAATGTTTGTGGCAGCATTATTCATAATAACCTCAAATTTTAAACAACCTAAATGTCCATTAAAGGGACAGTTGAATGGGTAAATAACTCATAGTATATTTATAGAATGGAAAACTATTCAGCAGTAAAAATACATGAACTCCTATTACATGCAAATCTACTAAAACTTTCAAATGTAACAGTAAGTGAAAGTCACCAGACCTGAAAGAATACAGAATGTATCATTCTAATTATATGTGGCTCAAATGCAAATAAAACTAACCTATGGCGTTATAAGTCAGGACAGTGGTAACCTTTGGAGAGAAGGAAGAGCATGATAAATTGGAGGGAATATTCAGTGGGTTTCTTGGGTGCTGATAATGCTCTATTCTTTAACCTGAGTGGCACTTACACAGGTACATTCATTTTGTGATAGCTCACTGGACTATATACTTATGCTCTATGTACTTTTCTGTATATATGCAGTACTTCATTTAAAGGTTTTAGAAATCTATCGAAGAAAAAAAAAAAGCCACTGCCTCCTGTTCCAACTATATGTTTCAATCCCCAGAGCAGGTCAGACACAATAGCTGTAGAGATGCTTAGGTAGCACTGAAACGCTACTGGACAAAGGCACATGGCTTACAAGTGTTCACACAGTCTCCTTCCACTGGCTCAAAGACCCAGCTGGCTCTAATACATTAAACTTAAAAGGTCACCAGGCCTGGTGACCACCTCACAGAAGGAATAGATTCTAGATGCACCCAGAGAAGTTCGTCTCAGAACTATCAGGTCAGGAAAATGAGGTTGTGAAGTCAGAACTGTAAAGCAATTCTGTTGTTCTAGCAACTGCCTTACGTTGGTCTCTTTCCTGCTCCTATTCTCTGTTAAATCTTGTAAAAGTCTTTACTCACAGGACAAGTGGCTCTCTATACTAGGTGGCTTAGATTTAGGTTTCCCTAAAGATGGGATGGATTGATTGCATATATTTGGAGCTCTATTGCTTTTTAATACCCAATAGCAAAGAATCCTATTCCTGAATCCTAGAACTTCAACCTTCATAAGACAGCGAAAGCGAATTTTGACCCTCCCAATCAAAGTAGAAGAATATTTATTCCGTCTCCTTCATATTTTCCTCTTCTCATCCTTGAAATCTTAATTAAAACTTCCTAAATTCATTTCCTCTAAGTATACCACAGTAGCCAGAACCCTTATTGGCATTGAGAATTTTCTTTGGCGGAGGTATAATTGCTCCTCTGTCAGTGTCCGGTGGAAGCTAACCTGAGTGGCATGTTTTCATAAGCTTTGGTGGTTGAGAGAATGCCACCAGGATGGCAAGCAGGGGATGTGTCAAACACCTCACCTTGAAAGGAGCACAGGCCTTGAAGTCAGACAGACTGAAGCTCCAACACAGTGCCCAACACTCACTAGATGCTCGACCTTAAACAAATTACTTAATGTAGTTTAGAATCAGTTCCTAAATTATAAAATAAATAAAATAGTGTTTATCAGAATGGCATAAAGTAAGAAGAGGAGGAGGAAGAGGAGGAGGAGGAAGAAAGAAGAACATAAATAGCACTTGCTGTGTGCCTGGCATTGTTCTGTGTGCTATGTACATGTTGACTCATTTCTATGTAATTGTCACAGCAATCCTAGAACACAGGCTCTGTTCATATCACCAGTTTATAAATGAGGAGCCAAGGCATAGAGAGGTGAAGTAACTTGCCTGAGGTCAGATGGCTACAAAGTGGTGGAGGGAGGACACTGATCCAAGCAGTCTGGCCACAGGGTCCACGTTCTTAGGCACAACACCCAATTGGTTTCTTGCCCCTAAAGTAGAGGCAATAAAGCATGGATTACTCACTTCAAGTAATGCTTCTTCCATCCCCTTTCTCACAAAGTTCAATGGCATATCTAATTTTTAGGTTTAGAAAGAGAGAAATTAAGAAGATCCTCGTATGTTTCTCTCATTTAATAGCACCACCTGTATCTTGCTTGCACCTCCTCAGTGAACAACTATAGAGAATAGGGCTGCTTTGGTAAGTTCTTTACTCAATACACACACGATGAGCACCTATGGCATGCCAAGCACTATCCTAGGTAATAAAAGAGCCAAGGGGCCACGCCAGCTTCTTCTCCACTCTCCCTCTCTCACTGGATTCATAAGTCCACATGGAAATGCTGTGGCCTCAGGACTAAAGAATGAAGTCTGGGCCAGCGACAGGCCAATGCTCATACAGCCCTAACTTGTCCATCAGCTGCCAGAGAGGTCTGCATGAATCCAGAACTAAATCCAATCCTGGGTTATGCAGAGAGAGCCTTCTCCAGCCTGGATTTGCTCCTGAAACAGCAAGTACATTGTTCCTAACTCCAGGCCACGCTTGCCAGTAGCAGCTCATGACCTTCCAGAAGTTACTTTGCCTTTATAGAGCAGACTGTAATTTTAACTCCCACTCCCCCGCCCCCAACTTTATTTTTTCATCAAAAATTAATTTAAACACCAATGAAAGCTCAGAATCCATTCACTCTGATTGGCAAGAAAGGAAAGAGAAAAGAAAAGCAAAAACACATTTTGTTGTTTGCCACACCTGAACTGGCAGAGTCTTCAAGAGTTGTGCTGAGGTTGGAATTTAACACTCCCGCCTCCAACACAAACACTCCTGTGGTGGGGGGAGGTGGGGGGATGTGCTCACTAGGCCGCCCTCAGATCTGTGCGTTGATGGCGAAAACAAGGCCCTGAAACACATGTCCTGCAAAACTTGAATAAGTCATGACCTACACAAGGCAAACCTTGCTACCTACTGCTTCTCTTTTCCTCTCCCCACTTCCGTCTTTTTCCTTCCCACAGAGCTTCTCCTTTCCTTCACAAAGCTTGGGAAGCACCCTCTGTATAAACTAAACTGTACATGAAAATCCAGGTCCAAGTCCACCATTCCAAGGCCATCAGTACCTTCAACATGGGAAGCTAAGACTAAGAATTGGGACTTGGAGAGCTTTCCTGAGACCTCCTTTCCTGTCGTATCTGCCTTCCTACAAGCCCTTGTCTGAGAAGTATGTATTGAGATGGAATAAACTGTAGGACTTCTGGGTATTTCTCTCTAGGCTTCCAGCCCAAGCTTGTATCTTTGGAATGTTCTCAGGGTTGGCCCAAGAGCCATGGTGATCATAGCAAGCCCAGGCTCTAGTGATGTGGGCACTGTGGAAAGTTTCCTGGGGAGTGTGTCATGTTGAATCAAATGCGAATGCTTCCCCTAAACTCGATGTTCTTGAAGTTTATGTAAATAGGAGGCAGGAGAAGCTCTAGTAACTGCAGTTCTCCCCATTTGAATCATTGGTTTTACTCTTTGCACTGTGTCCAATGCAGCCCACTCTGCAGAGCAATAGGAGTCAATTCTGAGGCTCCAAGGGCCAGGAGGAAGGAGAGAGCTGACAGCTCCCAGAAGAGGAAAAAGCAGGGTCACTGTCCAGCTTTCTGGAGTTGCAGGATTGGTTTTCTGCTGGACTCCCCAAGTGGCAATCTACAGGCCTCTTTCCAGAATTACCAGACTCTGGGGAGACAATAAGAAAGAAACTAAAACAATTTTTGAAAAGTTTTCCAAAGTTGGTGAATGCTATATATAGCCCCCAGTTGGCTTTGATAATTGCTCGGCTACAGGGAGAGGGGAACATGATGTGATTTGTGGGTGTCTTGATTGCAAGTTTTGGCCAAGGCCTAGGTTGTTCTGAATTAAGACTGAGGAAGCAGAATTTCCCTTAGGGCCATGGTACTGACTTTGAGCTGGGATCTTCTGGAAGACTCCATAGAGTGGAAGAACAGTTGCCTATTATGCTTATGTAACAGGATTATAGATTCTTTCACTCTGAGAATCTTTGTGAAATGACCTAGGATGCCTGAACTTCATAATGTTGAGAAATCATCTAAGCTGAGGGGATGCTGGGTTGATTCTGGGTGTTGGAACAAATATTGCCACTTGGGTCTTGTGTTGTCTGAGGTTGGACTCCCCAGAAGCAGACCCTGAGTGATTCATTTAAGGAATATTACCGGAAAAAACTGGTTAGGGGTTTGAGAAGTGGGCCCCAAAAGGAAAGGAGGATGCCAGGACAGGGTGCAACACTGAGCAAAGCCCCAGGAAAGGAAACGCTGAGATGTGACTTACTCTCTCTCCAGATCTTCCTGTGTACTGTCACTGCTGTCCTGGCCAGGGGCCAAGGAAGCTAGAGTATTTACACCTCCCTCTCACCTGTCATTCACCGGTTAAGGACTGTCATTTCTATAAGGAAGTCAGTCTTCATTATTGCACTATCAAAATAGTTTCTGGACCGAGGGCAGCCCTCTGATAAACAGATATAGCTGCTGCTTGGGCACACCTGGACCTGGGTGTATGAAAATAATAAAGGGCTTGTAAGGGGAGTGGTCCAAGTACTAAGTGAGTCAGCTATATTTTGTCTGGGCTTGCTATGGACTAAACTGTGTCCCCACCAAATTCGTATGCTAAAGTCTTAACTGCCCCCCCCCCAATATGACTATATTTGGAGATAGGGCCTTTATGAGGTAATTACGGCTAAGTGGGATCACAAGGGTGGACCCCTAATCCAACTGGACTGGTGGCCTCATAAAGAGAGGAAGAGACACCAGGGATGTCCCCCCCACCGTCTCTTTTCATGCACACTCAGAAGAAAGGCCATGTGAGGACACAGCCAGAAGCCAGCTGTCTGCAAACCAGGAAGAGAGCCCTCACCAGGAATCAAATTGGCACCTTGATCTTGGACTTCTCAGCCTCCAAGACTGTGAGAGAATAAAATTCTGTTGTTTAAGACTGTGTGTGGTATTTTGTTATGGCAGCCCAAGTGAATAAGACAGTACC